>NC_000008.11:13496466-13799496 GCF_000001405.40 Homo sapiens
ACTCATCCAATGTAATTGCTGTTAACAATTTTGTGCCTATTTAGCCAGGATTTCACATATTATTCAGCCATACAGAGAGGTTTATATTACTATCTACATTCATATATATATACACACACACACACACACATACCTACACACACACATTTTGACATTAAGATTTGGCTGTCTATACATATTGGTCTGCTACTGTTGTTTTTCAGTACTATATTATGAGCCTCTTTAAAAGTTAGTGTGCTTGGATCTGACTCCATGTTTTTAATGAAAGCACAGCATTCCATACAATAGATAAATAATTAACAAATTCTTAGACCATTTCCTTTTTTTTTTTTTTTTTTTTTTTTTTTTTTTTGAGATGGAGTTTCGCTGTGTCACCCAGGCTGGAGTGCAGTGGTGCAATCTCGGCTCACTGCAAGCTCCGCCTCCCGGGTTCATGCCATTCTCCTGCCTCAGCCTCCCGAGTAGCTGGGACTATAGGCGCCTGCCACCATGCCTGGCTAATTTTTTGTATTTTTAGTAGAGACAGGGTTTCACCATGTTAGCCGGGATGGTCTCGATCTCCTGACCTCGTGATACGCCTGCCTCGGCCTCCCAAAGTGCTGGGATTACAGGCATGAGACACCGCGCCTGGCCTAAACAAATTCTTTATTGATGCAAATGTAGACTGTTTCATTTTTCTTTCAGTAACATGCAATATAGTGATGAACACCTCTGTACATATCTTTCTATGAATATGCTCTATTGTTTCTTCTGGTAAATTTCTAAAAATGGCGAATTGCCAATTCAATGGTATTTTAACACTCATCCAATAATGCATAAAACAAAAATTCTTACACGTTTTAGTTCTAAGGGCTTCTCACATAATTGTAGTTTTCTAGGATAAATTCCCAACCTAAAAGTTTTCATTTAATCTATTTATTAGAAGGCATCCTAAATGGGTTGTAGAGTTAAAGTAAATATTCCATCAGGCAATGTCACAACACTTTAGAATGACAGAATGCTTAAAATAGAAAATTTAAGTTAGAACTTGTAAATGAGATATAATTATAACTCTCAAAAGGCAACCATGCTATAGTGACATGTCCAAGAGTAAATTCTTTCCAGCATTCTTAGTATTGATATAAATGTTCAAGTGGTGAGTATATGTTTCTGGAATGTTTAATGTTTCCATTGGCAGTTGGGTGGAGTTTGTTTTATTTTAGGGGAGCTATGCCATAGGTCAGTTAATACTGTCTTATGTCATTACAGCATTCCCTCAAACAGATTTGATAGGATATATGAAAGTTTTTGAAAAAGTGATCTAAACAGTTTAATCATAACAACTTTATGGAGCATTAACATTTTCATAAAACTTATGTAAGGAAGTGAGAGTCTGCCAGAAGCACAAAATGCTCTGTTAGCATATAGCTTGTGGACACTGATTTTTGCTGTAAAGTCTTTGACTTCATTTAAACTAACTCACGACACATTACTGATCTAGTTTGTAAGCAAAACCACAGTCTATGAAAACCAGATTTCTTCACTACAAAGAAAGTAGTAGATTTTTTTTTCTCTCTCATGGTAGATAGCCCCAGTTGAACAGAACAAAGAACATTACTTTTGTGTTTAGGAGAATTGCAGTTATGGATGAATGTATCAAGAGAGGGGCAAGGATATATGTTTTAATCAGTGCATACCAGTGTCAAAAATGCAGGGTTTCTTCCATGCCATTGGCCATGTGGGGTTTATAGAAGAAGAAACTGTGCTTGGACTTATATCAGGACTATAACTCACTACAGTTTTTGGAAAAATGTGGGGAAATTCTATAGAAAAGACAGGTTTTGGTCAAGGGTTCACTTGCTAAACCATAATTCAGGTAGCACCATCTTAGCCCTTGCTTCTCTCACTTGAAAGCTTCGCAGGGGAGGATGGCATCTTTAGAATTAGTCAAAGGGGCTGTAGCATAAAACATAATTGTGGTTATTAGCCTTTTCTGGTTGACAGTTAAGTAACAGTTGTGGCAAGAAACAGAGACTATGATATATATATTGATGGTGAGTGTGCCAGGGTATCACTTAAAATGGCACCAGCACATTTTGGGGGTGGGAGTAGTTTAGCCTTTGTATATGTGAGGGGATTATTTTAAATATGTGATTTATACCACCTTTTTTTCTTATGAAAACATAGTCTTTTTGAAGAGAAAAAGAAATATGCCCAAATAAATGCTATAACAGTACCATGACTTTCTTTATAAGAATTAGAAATCACTCTACAGAATGCCTTGAATTGCATGTCTATGAGCTATCTAGTGGCTATTTAATTCCAACTAAAGAAAGGGATACCAATCCTGTTTTCAACACAATTCTGAAATAGAATATTCATAAACCATTATACACATTATTAGTGAAACGGATAGATTATTATTCTTTAATTTTTACATATTTTGATGGTTTGACCAAGTGGGTAGTCGTTGAATTACACATCTGCATAACAGGGCAAAAGAACCATCTTCATATCTTTTTAATCCAAGCAAAATGATAACTGATAAATCCAAGGATATTTACAAAATTTCAAAAGCCAGAGAATCTGTGCATATGTCTTACCTTTCTCTTACGAAGTCTGACTTGGTTATCTGTGGGTTCCTGGGTGGCCAGGGTCTCCTTTAATTGTAAACACTGCATGCCATCTTCTGCCTTGACCTTTGGTGGACTTTTGTTTTGATGTTGTGAAAAACCACTCTTCTCCAGGCCATTTTCAGCTGACATTCCATTGGGGCAGGAAGGAGGCTGCAGAAGGCAGCTTCCAAAATCTGTTTTTAATAATGGCAGTCCTCTGTTTGTGCAAGGAGTATCCAAGAACTCATTTTGTACTACATTGCAGGTGCTTCTTTCATTTTCATCTTTAGGGGGGTCAGGTTTCCTTCGTTGCTGAGCAATTACAGCAGAGTTAAGCAATTGTTTCTCAGGTGCAATATCTTTCACGTTCAAAGTATCCACTGCATTTACTTTGGGTGCATCTTTTATTTCACTTAAGCTTATTTCATTGCAAAGCTCCAGGCTTTTACTTATAGAGTCAGTAACTTTTCTCTCCCCACTTTCTTTTACCAGTGCTAATTCAGTTTCACCAGCTATTCCCCAGGAGTTAGAAGAAACTTGGTTACTTTGTATGATGGGCAGTGCCTTTTCTAAGGAGCCTGCTCCTTGGATCATATGTTGGCCTGATGTTTTCTGCCCTTGGGTATTTAAAACCTGTTTATCATCTGTAAGGCATAAATCAGCATTGTTATCCTCATCAGAAACATGCACTAGTGTTTCTGTGCTGGCTTCCAGAGAAAGAAACTGATCTTCACCTTCATGGCTGTCATTTTCGTCCACATCCTTTGAAAGATGACCCATTGGCCTCCCAGGAAAATCTCTCAGCTCTGATCCATGACAGCAGTCAGGTAGTGAAACACACTTCTCTTTGCGGTCCACATTTAGAGTTGCATCTTTTTCCATACTTGCCTGCAAGCTGTCAGCTACTAGTCCATGATGACATGCTGTGTTACGATCATCAGAATTAAAAGGCTGTCCCATCCAGTGGGTCACATGTTCTTCCCAGCTTCTCTTTCTGATAGCTACAGACATGTCATCGTAGTTTAACAACAGACAGAGAGATATATTCCATATGAGGGTAAAGGAGATGGAACTTGATGAAAGATTATTTCAAAATCACCAATCAAAGAAGCGAATGAGTTCTGTCATTTCACCACCTATTAAAAAATTCAAAAAAATATGTAGTCGCAGATACGTTTCTAAAGTCAAAATATATCTTAGAAAAGAGAAAACTTAATCTATGCTATCAAAGTTAAGAGATTTTATAAAGCTTCTGTTTAGTAGCTTTAATAATGTCATTTCTTTAAGAAGCCTAATACTAGAAGGAAATTTAACATTGAATATTTCTGATAAAAATCATCAGCAATACTTTTAAAGGCATTTAAAGGCAGTTGGATTGGTCCATTAATGAATAAAGATACAAATACTGAACATTTAAAACTCCATTAAGAAAATATGTGAAATGCAATACTTAATAAAAATCACTGGAAGAAACATTGTTCTGGCTTGCATGTTTTCCTGATTTACTTTTGTGAACACAAGTTGTTAAATAAATCTATTCACTGTTTGGTTTGAATCACAGCGAAAGCCACCAGGGAACTGTTCATGCAAAACTTGAGCTATAGAGACAGCATGTGTAATGTATTAGTGTGTGAAGGAGCTAACACCGAACCCAAACGACCAGTATGTAGTTACTCCAGGGAATGACTAAGAAACATGGAATAATCCAGTTTAGCACATATTAACACAGAATGCATGGATTAGAAAGCATAACACATACCATTTACAATTAGGACAGATACATCTGTACATGCATCCTACTACTGCTACTACTAGCTTGCAAGCTGGTATTTTTGAAGCTTAAGGGAAATTAAATAATTTACTAAAGTTATACATGTAGCAAGTGAGCCGAGATTCAAACTTGGTCCTGCTTCTAAGGCCCAGACTGAGATAGTCAACAAACTTCATTGTCTCCATGGAATTATGAGATTCTACCTTCATCCCTTCTTCCCACATAACTTTAGTATGTGTAAACTCTAAATATTTTATGCAAGAATTCAAGTGAACATAAAGGAAGATATGACTATAAGACAATTGGGACTATTCTTCAGAAACTTCAGTCTCATTCTGTTTGGCTTATAAGAAGTTTAGTTTGCATATTTCTGTTAGAATATGGCCATAAAATTTAAGTAAACAAGAAAATCATGCATAAGACAAGCTTAGAATACAAACACATACCAGGTACCCAAATTTTTGCCTTGAATTCTTCAAACCCTTAGTTAAAGGAAAGAAATAATACCAGTGTCAACTCAACGTTATAAAAATGACTAACCCAAATTTTGCCCCACAATGAAACTATATTATTGGACTGTAAAAGAAAAATCCCATTCACAGAGCAGACACTTTTAGTTTTTACTTCACACGAGAACTGTCAGCACACAACATGGGTTGAGTTACTGATTTCTGCTATAAACAAGATTAACTGCTATACTGATTTTCGATCTCTTTAGTCTATTCTATTGTAAAGGGCCTTGACTCCCCAACAAAAATTTCGAGCTGTTCTGACTAAGCACATGCCTGAGAGGTAAATATTTCCAGTCTGTAAAAACTGGCGAAATTGACATGTGCTAGAATTTTAGTATCCCAGCCTGACCAAGTATCTTTCTGGATACTATTTGGTTCCCTCAGAGGTCTGTGGCCATCTTGAAAAGTGGTCAGCCTTCACATTTTCCATGTTGACGTTCACTCTGCACTCAAAAGAAAATATAAAATCTCTGAATTCCATGCATAAGTCATTATAACGTGGGAGGCTACGGAAAGTGGAAAGAACACATAGATGCAAGCCAGAAAATTTCTGCTTTCATGGGCACATTTGGGAGGTAATAGGGTTTTAGATACTTTTCTCTCTTTATTTTTATCCAGTGTAGAAAGAGCCGGCTCACTTAAGAAATACCAAGTGGTATTACGATGTCACTCCTAAGCCACATTTATATTTTAAGTTGAGCCTGAATTCTGGTTTCATTTCTTTTACTAAGAAGAAATATAGTTTTATTAACTTTTTAGGCAAAAAGAATTACACAAAAATTTTGCCTTTAAGACTTGACAATAATATTCATTAATTTCTGTCACTCAACCTTGACAAGTAGGTAAGTATTTCTGTCAAATCAAAGGAAGATAGTTCAACAAGTTCTGAGACAATCTAACTGGAAAGAGAGACTATAAATAAGATAAATCCAATAAAGCATTAACTCTTCTTGCTTTCATTTCTAATCTAGGTGCTTTCAACATTTCCAAATCATTTCTGTAAGTGTACACTTTTATTTTTAAGATATGCAATTTCTCAATTTTCATAACGATCATTATTACATTTGGCATCTTCATTCATTCCATGTCATGTGGTCTGATAGTTTTTTTAAAAAAATGAATGTCTGCAAGCTCTCCTATCCAGTTTCTATTTAAATTTTGATTTGTAAGATTTATAGTTAAATCTGTCTCTATGATTTAAAGACCAGATTATTAATAAATAGGAGCATTAGATTATTGTCAATCACATCTGAGTTTATAGGTCTCATTTCCTAAATCATCTGAATTGATTATAATCTATCCCCTAATAGAGAGAAATCTTTGTAAAAGACTGACTTCTCCTGTGAGCCTCCTCACTGGGCCGCCTTATTTAAAATTACATTTCAAAAAACTGACTACTTATTTTTCAGATTTCTATTACATTTCTTTTGTAATCCTATTCATGCAGTTTCATTCAGAATGAGCTCAGTTGCTGAGGATTTGGATGGAGGATCTGGAAAATTGTAGGTCATTTCAGGATGTTGGTTTTATGAAGTGAATTTCCATGGGGATTTTTCACTTCTTAAATTCATGTGTTCAAGCACCGTGACATTAACATCACAAGAGACTGTATGTACTTCTAATGATGCTATGATTCTGGAAAATACTTTTGAAATTTCCAAATTTGTGATATTCGTGCATGATTTTGAATTCATTGTTTGGGTTAATTTTGTAACACTTACCATGCCTTAACGTAAGAGTTTTATAGCATACAATATATACATTAAAGTTGAACAAAATTACTGGGCATGATGGCTCACGCCTGTAATCCCAGCACTTTGGGAGGCTGAGGTGTGCGGATCACTTGAGCCAGGAGTTTCAGACCAGCCTGGGTAACATAGAGAGATGATGTTTCTACAAAAAATGCAAAAATTAGCCAGGAGTGGTGGCGTGCACCTGTAGACCCAGCAACTTGGGAGGCTGAGGTGGGAGGATTGCTTGAGCCCAGGAGGTCAAGACTGCAGTGAGCCATGATCGCACCACTGCACTCTTGCCTGGGTGATAGAGCAAAAAAAAATAATAATAAATTAAACAAATTAAATGTTACCGTATTTAACAATTGGAGACATTCTAGTTTGAAAATCACTGATCTATATTTGATATCAAATGATCATGCTCTATTTTTGCACTTGTCTCTGAAATAGAAGACCACCTTATAATTTGGCCTGCCAATTGTTCTTAGAAAAGAAGAGCTTGATAATAATTACTACTGCTGATTCTACAGCCTGAGAGAGCAAGGTGCAGATGAAGTACCACTGGCTGAAATCAAGTGTTCAGTCTGTAGAACTGACAGTAGTTAGTTCATAATCACTATTCATCAAGCATTTATTTAGTACCCAGTGAGTGGCAGAAACTTGTCTAAACATTAGGAATATAAACCTGAATTGTATAGTCTACCTTTGCTACTGAAGCTTACCAATTTTGTGGGAGAAACTCCTGTAGACAAGGATAATAGTTACAAAGAAAGTTCTATCATAGATATCTATCTGTGGTAAATATCTATCTATCTGTGGTAAGTTTTCTGCCTCCAGAACGTTCAAGTCAAATGGTATTTGAGGTACAGTTTCCTACTGGATAGAAGAAATCTTCCTTTCTTTCTGGCTTCAGATTTCTACTATTCTAGAATTACCTCTTTGGAAAAGATAGCAGAGGTAACAATAAATTCCAGAGAATTGCTTGCAACTCGAAAACTCACTAGTTACCTTGGAGGGTAACATTTATCAGAAACATTTCAGAGAATTTTTTTTTTTTTTTTTTTTTTAAGACAGAGTTTCACTCTTGTTGCCCAGGCTGGAGTGCAATGGCGCCATCTCAGCTCACTGCAACCTCTGCCTCCTGGGTTCAAGTGATTCTCCTGCCTCAGCCTCCCGAGTAGCTGGGATTACAGGCATGTGCCACAATGCCAGGATAATTTTTTATTTTTCCTAGAGACAGTTTTCTTCATGTTGGTGAGGCTGATCTCAAACTCCTGACCTCAGGTGATCCGCCTGCCTCGGCCTCCCAAACTGTTGGGATCACAGGCGTGAGCCACCGCGCCCGGCCTTCAGAGAACATTAAGAGAAGAAATTTTTCAAAGAAAACAATTTTAGCATGTGTTCCAGAACAAATGATTCAAGTCTTCCGATTGAAGGGAACTCATGAGGATGCAATGGTACCAGAAAGAACAATAGACCACGTAAGAAATGTCGTTGTGAATTTTCAGAACATAGGAGGTAAGCAAATGGTTCTAAATGTAATCGGAGAAAGAGAAAAAGAGATGATATATTAGGAGCTGGGAATCAATGGTATCAGATTTGTCAAAAGTAACAGTGCAGGGAAGACGACAGGCAAATACGACTTCAAAATTTGGATGGGAAATTATGTCTGCCTTAAAATTATATGAAAAGTCTTACTTTTTTTTTAACCTCTTCTCAAAAGCTACTGGAGAGATAGCTAACCCCAAATTAAAAAATAAACACAGTGGGAAAGACATGGCAAAAGGAAGCCAAGAATTCAGCACAAGTGAGGAAGGTATAGAATTTTCAGGATAAAAGTTGTGTAGCAAGTCCAGTGGTCAATCATTTCACATAACTCCTAAAGTTGTCTCTGGGAGATGTCTCTAAAAAAAGGGAAATAATAAATTATATATGACATATTGAGAGGAATTTTATAATAAAGTCAAGCAATTTGGATGGAAGAATTATTAATAGTTATAGAGAACACTAGGGATATCAATTATCAACCACAGGAAAAATAGTTTTACAAGAAGGAAAATATAATTATAGTATACTCCATAAGCTGTGGCTAATTTTTTTCATGTAGTCAAAATAATGCAAATAGTAAACATTAAATTAACCAAAACATATGAAGCAATGATTTTCAGTGCATAGGATTCTGTGAGGAGTGAGATTAGGGAGAGCAGGGAAAATAATTTAAGGGAGATAGTCACTTTCTGTAGCAGGAAGTTAACAGATAATGTTTAAAATAGAAAAAAAAATCATAGTACAATCATATTGTTTAGAAATACAGAGTTAAATATCAGAAGACATAGCTAAAAATAATTTAAAGTATTATGATATTGTGTGCCATTTGCTAAGAAAGTCTTATCTCTGGATTTCAGAATTCATGCTAAAAATAATTTAAATTTTAAAATGTTCTACAGCAGTAATTTTAAGGTTAAGCTGATGCATAAACACGACTGCAGTTCTTCTGCAATATGTCTGGTGGGGCCAAACCATTCTTTTTGCCCCATTCCCCCTCACCACAGCATCCCCTCGCAATTACACAAACACCAGTCTCATGTACGTAGCAAAGAAAAGGTGCCAGTTTGGATATTTATCTTATGTCACCAATGTCAGCACAATTTCTATGAGATTCTTAGGTCAGTTCTTTCAGTTTCCTTTCCTTCCCTAACTCTCCTGGGGAATTCCTGAAATTTGGAACAGGTATTCTTAGGAATTGTCTAAGCCATAGTTTTCCTAAAATGTTATCTGAATAGAAGTTTAAGATACATAAAATAACATATAAATAGCATTACATTAGTACATGCACATAAATGGGGAATTCTCACTCAAATTCCCACTTTTCCTGAATCCCTCACTCACAGTACTTGGAAAGATGGCAACTTTTGTATTCATCCCATCAAATGCAGGTATCTTATTTTGTCCTTTGAGAATACATGTGATACATATATGTGTGTGTGTATATATAAAGCAGTCCTTTGAGAATACATGTGATACATATATGTGTGTGTATACATAAAGCAGTCCTTTGAGAATACATGTGATATATATATGTGTGTATACACACACATATATACACATATGTATACAAATACATGCACACATAAATATGTATATGTAAACACACACATATATATAAATGAACACGCTATTGACTTCTGGGTTGTGAGAGTGTGTGTGTGTGTACACATATATATTGATATAAATAAATGAACACATGATTGACTCTAGGATATTCTATTAAATATCCTGAATATTTAATGGAAGGGAAAATAAAGACATAACAGTACTGCCATTTTACTTTTCTTTTCTTACTTCTTCCTTAGATAGCTAGAATTACTTCTGGTTTCCCTTAGAGTTTTTCATCCTGATTAGCCATCCCATGTTAAATTTCTAGGTCGTGTTCTCCACCTACTGCTTTATACACATACACACACATGGACACACACACACACACACACACATGTGTGTGTGTGTGTATATATATATATATATATATATATATACACATATATATACACACAGAGAGACACATGCACCCAAATATATATGTGTGCATATGTATGTATATAAATATACACACACACTTACATAAAACAGCTATCGCATAGCATGTGCTTAGTCACTGTGGGAAGGAAGAGAAGATGTAAGGGAAATAATCTCATGTTAATTAAACGCAACTTAACAGTTTCTAAAATGCTCTCTCAGCATATGAACGAAGAAGAAGACACCTCTACATTTGGCACATTTTGTTGCTACGTGGTGAGGGTCACCTTAGTAAGATGCATATGTTGGAAACCTGAATATCTGGTAATGATATGAAATCTTACTGTATCTTAGCCTACTCTTGGGGACTCACACTTGTACATCGTATGTGCCCCCAAAACACTTACTGAATTGAATTAGGCAACTAGAAAAGACGATCAACAACCTGGAAACAGACATGATCACAGGAGCACAACTTAATATAGTTCTTCAACTCATGTCAAAGTAAATCTTCATTACAAAGAGCATTTGTGGAAGCCAAAATGAAACCCATTTTCTTAATGATAATGTCAAAGAACAAATTACCTAGCAAACTAAATTGTGTACATTTGGGCGCCTTCCCACTGGCACACAGCTCAGTGATAAATGAAGAGGAATGCTCTTTACGACCAAACTGACTTGACATATGCTTAGAAGCCAGAAAGCCCAGGGAAGATATTATGTTTCTTAATTCCTTTATGTAAATACACAAACAAATAGCAAAAACCGTAAGAGCACATTTCTAAAAAGCATTTCTATGAGTCTAGTCCAGACAGCCAACTTTCAGTAAAAAACAATTAGTGTTTTTCCTTTAAAATATTCATGTTATCTAATCTAAATTAGACAAGACTAGAATTAGACTGTGGGTGGATAAACATTTAATAACATGATGCAAGAATTTACCTCCATATGATTTCATGCAGATTCCCTTTCTTTAGTAGCAATATGTGTCTTAATCCCACACAAAATCATTATTCCTCTACTTTTACATACTTTGTTTAATGCTGGAATGTACTTGTTATACCTCATTACATGTTAGTGGAAAACATGAATCCCTGTTAAAAGTTTTATTGGCAAATTGCTTAATGGAGATTAAAATATTATATATGAAGTAGCTTCCATGTCTTTAGGCTGTCTGGAAAGCATCAAAAACTTTACCAAATTAAAGAATAAGTCATCTATAATGAGCCAAGTAAGGGGAATAAGTAGTGTTTCACTTTTTCCAAAATACACATCCAACGTTCCATCAGGTTTAGTCTTTAGAAGAAAAATGAAGAAATAGGTACCCAGCTGAAAAATATTATTTTATTGTTAACCCATTTTTAGGTATATCTGAGTTTTTACTCAACTTAAAACATTTTTTTTATTCTTAGCCCTCAGTGATTCAGGCAAATTTGAAAGTTAACTCTTTCAATCCACTAGAAGTCAGCTCATGAGAAAAGAGCAGGGTGTTGCAAAACTGCAAGCTATTATTTCAGCGGTGCTCTATTTTTACGTCCAGGTTGCTGCTATTTAATGTCGCTTCCAGTAGTGTCTAATTTTCTTGCAGAGAGGAGAGCAGATACTGGCAGTGTTTGACTTACCACCCACTTTATGGCTCAAGCCAGCCAGATTTGGAGATTCTCTTAACATTTTCTTAAGCAACCCGCATGTAATTTGAGGAAACTGGGAATATTTTATGATATTCTCCTGATATCACTGAGATCTTTCTGGGGATATTGGTTTCTAGGAGATCCCAGAATTAACAGAGCCATGTGGGACAATATTGCTTTATGGATGTAGTAACTTCTTTTTCTTTTTTTTTTTTGAGACGGAGTCTCGCTCTGTCGCCCAGGCTGGAGTGCAGTGGCGCGATCTGGGCTCACTGCAAGCTCTGCCTCCCGAGTTCATGCCATTCCCCTGCTTCAGCCTCCTCAGTAACTGGGACTACAGGTGCCCATCACCAAGCCCGGCTAATTTTTTTGTATTTTTAGTAGAGACAGGGTTTCACTGTGTTAGCCAGGATGGTCTTGATCTCCTGACCTCGTGATCTGCCCACCTCGGCCTCCCAAAGTGCTGGGATTACAGGCGTGAGCCACCACGCCCGGCCAGATGTAGTAATTTCTAAGTATCTATGTTTTATTTGGATCTCCATGTTTTATTTTTTTTTAAGTATGCAATCTTCTTAATAGTACTGTTTGATCCTATGCAGAATAATTTGGGCATTTACAAATACATTGTACCTTAGATTAATTCTGCAAATAAATTCATTAATGAATAATTATCTTCTTTGCCATAATATCTCTTTTCTGTAGAACCTCTTACAATAAAGAGAAGTATTGCCTTTCCTCTGATCTTGTTTCACTTGAAATTTTTCATGTAACAGGAAATAGCCTAGGGTTAAAGTTGATATTAAACGTGTGGCTGACCTTTTTATTATTGATGGCAAAGCAGTATGATTGAAATGTGGTTTGCTGTATTATAAAAAGATATTTTTATTCAACAAGGAACACGGATTATAATGTTTTATCATCATCATGGTGAGATGCGGTTTTGCTTTAAGTGGTCACTTTATTTTTAGCTTTGCTATCATTTCTAAGAACACTCCAACAGTAGACACAGTAATCACTCCGCGTAAATAACAGATATAGCTACATCAACCCAGGTGCTCAGATAGCAAGTTGACAGTAGGGAATTACATTTTTAGTCATTCCATAAGCACAATTTTCACTGAAATCAGGAACAAGATGTCATTAGGAACTTAATTACTTCTGTTAGCTTGGTGTCCTACCTGGGGTCAATGTCTCTGCTATCAACTTTTGTCTTCCATACATCTCTATCATCTCATCTTAATTATGTCATCTACCTATAAATGTTTGAGCTTATTTTTATCACCAAGTGTTTTTCTTAATACCTAAGAAATATTAAGTGCATTAGAAACTTATAATGATAATTATAGTAAAAACATCCTTCAATTAATTAAGCACTTATTATGGGCCAAGTACTGTATTCGGTGTGTTACTTAGAAGCTATCTCCTTTAGCAGTAATACAAATGTTGTATGAAACAAATACCATTATTGCTCTAATTAATTTGATAGGGAAGAATTTTGGCAGGACTGATTAACTAGCTCAGTGTCAAATACATACTGGTGGGCAGGAATTGTCTCCCATTTTTGTGAGGATGTCTGTGAAATAACTTTTTTCCCCCTGGTGATTAGGGTTAGTTACCTAAATTCTATGTACCTCAGTTTTCTCAGTTCTGTAATGGGAATAATGAAAAAACTGTTGAGGGGAAAATGATAATGAGTTAATAACAATGAGATTATAATATATGTAAAACACTTAGTCCATGGCACATTTCAAGCACTCACTAGATGTAAAGTGACTTGATCATGATGATGGTGATGGTGATGGTGATGATGACTCCTTTAGCTTTCAACTGATCTTAGCTGCAGAATCCAGGGCTGAGTATGAGCTGAAACTATCTCTTCTATGTCCATGATATTTCAATATAGATGAGTGATTAGAACAAAATGTGAGTGAAACACAATTATTCTTTATTCTTTTTTTTTTTTTTTTTCCTGAGATGAAGTTTTGCTCTTGTCGCCCAGTCTGGAGTGTGATGGCACAATTTCGGCTCACTGCAACCTTCACCTCCCAGATTCAAGTGATCTCCTGCCTCAGCCTCCTGAGCAGCTGGGATTACAGGTGCCTGCTACCATGCCTGGCTAAAGTTTTTTGTATTTTCAGGAGAGATGGGGTTTCACCATGTTGGTCAGGCTGGTCTCGAATTCTTGACCTCAGGTGATCTGACTGCCTTGGCCTCCCATATTCTTTCTTGATTAATTGACTTATGCCTTTTTAAACAAGGACTTGTTGATTATACTGTATGCAAAACAATTTGCACACATGAAATCTCATCTAATGCCTAACATGACCTGGAAATCCCATACTTTACTAATAAAAAGCAGAAACTCAAAGTAGTTACGGGGCAAACATCAAATCACAGAGCGTCAAGTGGTTAAGAGGAAATCAGAGCCAGTTTTCTAACTTTGTCCATTATTTTTTTCGGTACACCACCCCATTTAAAATGTGGAAAATTCACTAGTGCTCTGTTCTCACTGGCCTCATGTAACTTTTAATTTCAAACCATTTCTGGATGCCTATGCTTCCTTCTGGTGCTTAATGAACTTGAAATGTCATCTAATGAGAGTGTTGTTAACCTCTGGCCCCAGGCTCTGATGACTCTTTCCAACCTCTTATTTTCCTTCCCCTTTAGAAATTATTATTCTATTATTACAGGATGTCTGGAAAATAAGAAAGAAGTCCAACTCCCACACATTACCATTCCTCAACCCTGGTTTTCCTTTCTTTTTTTTTTCCTTCGCTTTTCCTTCCATTCATTTCACAAACATTTATTGACAAATAAGTGTTGATAATTCCTGGCAAGCTAGGTATTTTGCTAATTGCTGGGAATAAAAGAAACACTAATTGAGTATCTAAACCTGCTGTTTGATCTTCCTACTTCTTTTCTATCTCATTTCCATTAACAGGGCTGATTTTCTCTTTGAATTATTTGAATTGCATTGCTAAAACACTTTGTTATTTCAAGCTAATACAGAAACAACCTTTTCACACATGCAATTGTCTTTTCCACCCATTTATCTCAATTAATGAGCAAGTTCATATGCATGCTGTTTACATTATCTTTCACCTTTTTTTTTGGCATTTGAGTCACTGTTTAATCTTTTAAAGTTCATTTATATACTCTAATCCACTGAATCAAAATTAACAATCTTTTTTAACTGGGCCTCAAGGTCCTAGTTTATTCATTATTATTCTGTTTAACTTTCTTAAAAATTAGCCCATTTATTTATCAAAACTCTGTAAACTATCAGTTGAAAGCCAAAACAGAACCATAGAAGTAAACACTGTATTTCTCTATCACACCAAAGTCAATCAAGAGTCATTCTTCTCTGTAACTCTGTTTGGTCTATGTTGTTTATGCAAGGGGCTTATCTTTCGTGTGGGGAAAGCAGGCCCAATATTCACACTACTTCCCTCAAATTTGAAAGTTTTCAGTGTTCCCTTGTCCTCTTCCAATTCTCATGTGCAATTCTTGACATGTCTCTATTTTGATAATAAAATCCCTGATCTAGATCTTGGTCATTTGGAACTTTGCCATACTGTAATAGTTTTTAAAGAGTGATTCTCATTTTATAACACTGACATCACTCATTTTTCAAGAGGAAACAAAAAACAAACAAAAGACAAATTTCAAATGATCAATTTTTGACCTATTTTAAGCCTGTAAGATCTAAAACTCTATGAATAAGATTAAACCATCCCATAAGTATTTGTAGTGAGTTATATGGTATGGGTAGGTATAGACAGAGAGAGAAAAAATTCTTTTTTTTAAATTATAATGTCCTTATGAAGAAAATGAAGTGATGTGCTATCTTTTACTAGGCCTTCTAGGAATCAGGCAGTCAGCTATAAGGGCCACCACTTTACTGCACTTATTTCTCATTCCAATAATGTAGAGTGTGGTGACATTGAAAGGAAGTGTTGAATAGTGTCTCTTTTAAGTAGTAATAACATCAGGAAACTCAATCTGGTCATGAAAATGGAAAAAAAAAGTATCGTGACACATTCTCTCTAAGGAAATGGCAGCTATTAGAAATGGAATGTGTTACATTTATGAGAAAGGGTCTTGTCTGAGAAGGTATACTGCTTCAGCACACACAGCAACAAATATTGTCATATATGAAGTATGATGCAGATGAAATAGCCCACGCTCCCATTTTATACCACGTTGTTCAGACATTTATTTATATACTGTAAAAATTCTGCATTCTACAATTAAATGACTTTGTAGAAGGCTTAGAGCAGACATACAAATCAATTAAGGGATTGCAAACATGCTGGAGAAATGTAAACATATTTTTTATATGTCAACTTAGGCTTTTTATATATTTAGTGAAAAGACCCACATAGAACTTGAAATAAGCTACAGCAACAATGATTTAGGCTAGATAGAAGAAAGGATGCCTGGGGGTGGTGCTGTAAAATTGCCTCTGAAAGTCATTGGTTGGGACAGTTTCATTATGATCATTTGAGTACAAGGATATAAATTAGAAAAGCTGTTTTCTAGCCCTATTTTTAAAGAAACATCAGATTAAAATTAATATAATTATTAGCATATGGATTGATTTTCTTGACATAAACATCAAATATAATAAAATAGTCATAAAGCAAGTTACTACTGTAAAGTGTTTATTGAAGGCATACTGATTTGATTTTTTTTTAAAGTTAGGATTTTTTTCCCCACATAATTAACATTGGTGACAGTTTTACCTTTTTTTTTTTTTTTTTTTAAATTAGAGGAACTGCAAATTTCTGTCTGCAAAGCACCCTTCTACTGGACATGTTCATACTTCATTATGCATAATTATTATGGGAGGGCAGGATGATGGGATAAAAAGGTATCTGAATTATGAATCAGGGCACTGTGGTTCTGCTGTCCTCTCTTCTATTAGCTAGAGGTGTGACCTTGGACAGGTCACTTTTAAATCCCATTTCTCAGCTTCTTGTAGACAACCTCAAGCCATTGTTAGAGGAGACCATCTCTTATGTTCTTTCCTTCTCTGAAATTCCATTTGGAGATTTTAATTAAATCATAATTTAGATAAGTCAGTATTTTATCTTCCACATATATAAAAAGTAGATTCTTTTTCTCATATTTAAGAAGTTTTAACACAAATTGTCAGTGAATAGTTAAAATTTATCAATATAAGTTATTCTAGCATAAAATTTGAGAATAGCTAATATAGCAGATGGTCACCTTGTACTATATAAAAACTTATAATGAAAACAGTTACTTCATTTCTTATGATCCAACTGTCAAAATAGCTCTCCATCTTTCACTTAGTATATTTTGTATTCATCTAATAGATTTGAAAATGTACATGAATATTTCTTCCCTTTATGTACCATTTTATTTCTATAAAATGATGAATTTTATTATAAATATTCAGAAATATAACAGTATCTTATGCATTATAAGTCCACACTTTTTCGGTCATTACTAAACTTCTTTTCTAATATATTGTACATTTAAACATTTAAGATTACCTTGAAGAGACTACAGTCAGGTGGAAATGTAATTTTACGATTACATAAGTAAGGACACAAACAGTTTCCATATGACTGGAGTGATTTCTGGCTGCCTTAAAAGAGTTATAATGAGTGTCAGTGTCATTGAGATTGACTTCAGTTATTCAAAATATTACACAAAATGTGACCGGAGCAAGCAGTGAATCCAGGAAAATTAATATAAACTAAATTCGATTCCGACATTTAAATTTCCAAAACTCAGATTAAATACTATTTAGGACAGAAATAATTCCTGAAATTTCACGTGTTTACTTTTTTTTTTTAAATGAACCTTTTAAGCTGTACAGGAGAAGCTTGACATATGATTGAAACTGGCTTGGGTAAAATAATAAGAAATTCAATCTTCGTAGTTTTAAATGAGACACAAAATACTCTTTGGAGACTGATTATTAAGCACAAGTCACTCGGGTGCTTTCTACTCTCCCTGTTGGCAAAGGAAGGTAGGGGAGGAATTCATTTACACCTCACACTGATGTGTGAGAAAATGTATTTGTTTCACGTTATGCCAAGAAATAGGAAAACTGATCCGACAGCTCAATTAATAAATAAGTTAAACGTAAAAAGGGATAAAAATAAAATCTTACTTTATGGAGGAAAAGAGTTAAATCTATATGGAGCCTGTTTTAGAACTGACAGTTTGCTAAAACGAATTGACTCAGAATTTTCTACTTATCAAACATTTTCCACTTCTGATTTTATGGCTTTGCTCTAAAACCTAGGAAGTCACCAACTCCGTGCAAGATGCTAACATTTATCTCAATCTTTCTGCCTCTTCAAAGACCGCCTCAAAGCATAAAGATAGTCCATAGCGTCTTACCTAGACAACGAGGAGCTGAAACGCCAAGGCATGACACTGCTCAACACTCAGGCTAGGAAAGAAGTCCGTCCCCGTTAGTTTCTCCAAAATCTAAGTTCCCATTTCGTGGTTGAGATCATGGCTCTATTCTGAGCAGTTTCACGCAGTGTGTGAGTCTAACAAAAACACCCTCTGCAGCTGGAGGGAGCCTTAGCTAAGGCAGGATCCTGTCAAGGCATTCCTAGTGACTTCTGTCTACTAAATTCAGACTGAGGTTTTGCAAAAGGGGCCTCCACAACCAGGCCCAGATTGCCTGGAAAGTATTTCCTGCCTCTGAGGAGTGTGCATGCTAGAAAGGCTGTACGAAGAGAGGGGAGGAGGGGAGAGCCCAGCCGCCTGGGCGTTTTAGGAGTTCTGATTTTACACAGAACTCAAGTGAGTTTTGTCAAAGCTCTTGAGGTGATTAGCTGTAGAGTCATAAAGTCCTAGAGCTTTTTCTATCCCACACTGCTTATGAAAAAAGAAAGAAAGAAAGAAAGAAAACGTAGTTTTCTCTCTATCCACAACCTTTCCACTATATTAAATGTATATGCACAGCTTAATCAAAATGCCTGTGCTTGCTCTCATTTCAAAAGATCTTTTAAGAGAGCAAGATGAATTTAGCCTTAATACCATAATTCTTCTAAATGGCAAAACCTTTTTTGAACATGACTTAAAATTGGAAATGCTGCAGCTTTTCATTCTGTCCCTGAGACCATCTGTAAGTAAAATCCCAAGCATCCAGTTAATAGAACGATTTCTTCCAGATCTCTCTGATCACAAGAATCCTTCACAGAATTAAAATAGTTCGTGTTATGGCAAATGCAGCAGCGCATTACCTCTAGTCAGAATCCTCCAGTTACAAAAATCCAGTGCTGGAGCAGAAGACAGGCTCCATCTTGATCGTATTAGAGTCTTGCTGACATTAAACACTTACAACTGCTTCCATCTAGCATGGCAGCGTTCCTGAATCACATCTCTAAAGCCGCTCATGGTATCTGCATCCTTCGTCCGTCACAAATTTTGTGAACTATCATCTGTTTATCTTTTCTGCTTTCTTGTGCCTCCCTTGAATGACTTCCTCCTAGCTGCTCCAGGTTGGGAATTTGGACTACCATTTGGTTTTGATTAAAACCAGACAGGCAACTCTGGAGAATTTAGGGAATAAGCTAATGGAAACTGCAAGTATGGCTTTAATTAGTGCATCAATTAATAATAGATGTTAGCTCGTCTTATAATAAGATATCACAAATACAAACACAGAGGAAGCTGAAGTCGTTTCAGGAAAAAAGTTACACCAATTTTCCTTCCTTTATGACCCAGAATCCTCTTTAGAGAATGTGGAAGGAAAGAAGAGGGAGGTGGTTTTGGGACATCCAGGCTGTGGAGAGGCCAGTAGAGCAGCTTCATTGTTTATACCAGGGAAGCAGGAAACAGCATCTCTGACTTTAATTATCTTGCTTGGTGGAAATGGCTCAGTCATGTCTCCCTTCTACTTTATTTACAATCAATGGATTTCGCTGCTATTTATGACTCAAGCATTTTTTTGGGGGGGGACTGATGATCAGATTAATTATTAGGTCTATCTGCTTCTTGCAAATTTCTAGAAGCTTTCAATAATAGGAAGTGCAAGAATAATTCCAGTTGGATGTGATAAAATGAGTAACATATAAAGAGGTAAAAGACATCTTAAACTTGTTGGCCCTAAGATCTATCCTGTTCTTCTCTGAAATTGTAAGTAGTTTTCATTGTTCACTGTTATTCTCCATCCCTGTATATCACAAGGGCTATCTTGTAGTACTTTTTGATAATATTGGGTAGGTGATAACTCAAAGATGCACAAGGTTCTAACTACTATTTTTTTCCTTATTAGGTAGCTAAAATCTCTCAAAGTTAATGCAAATCATGAACCATATTAGACCCATGTTAGATGGCAAGAATGACTTATACTGTGCATGAGTTTGAAGATGAGAAGTAGTCAAATAAAAACGTTTGGTCAGAAGCAGCTTTAAAAGTTTAGATCAAAGTCTTATTGACTAAAAACATGAGCATTTAGGTTTCTTTAATTTAATCTTCAACCATAGGCCAAGAAAGAAGTCTGTTCTTCCATAAATTCTTTAAAAAGTATTTATATTTATATTCAAAGTGTTTCTACTGACAGTATGCCTATTTAATCTTTCCAACAATTTTGCGTGTATTCATATGTTTTATTTTACAAATAAAGTATTGAGAAGCAATTTTCTCACAGTCAAATGATACAAAGTGCCCAGGTCCACACTGGAACTCAGATATTCTAGCTCCAAGCTTTGTGCTTTAATTTTTTCTCCATAAACTGCCTTCCTTGACTTCCACTTAATTTCTTTATTAAATTGGGAAGACTTCTTAAACTCTAATAGTTTCTCTTTAAAAATAGAGACAATTTCACATAACTTATAGATTGGAAAGCAGGATGAAATTTATATGCAGAAATATTTGTGTATTTATGTTTATTTCCCTAAGAAAAACACTGGAGAAGAAAGGAATGAGAACTGATATTATGTCTTTCCTAATATAACTTGATATCTCTATCTCTGTCACTGCCTTTAGTACTGATATACAGTGGTTACTCAATATTATATCAGCATCATGCTAATTCTTAGCTACATTTTATTCATGAATACTGTACCCCGCGCCATATACTTTAGTTTTGTTTCTATTTCTATTGGCTTGGGAAAACAAGAAAACTCTGTTCACAAATGCCTTTTAGATATCTAGAAACTCTTGTTAGTAAGTTTCTCATAAACATACCCTTTTCTACACAAAAAATACATTATGTTTTCTTCTATTAATAGGATTACTTCCCAAATCTTTAATTACTTATATTTATTTTTCATTGTTGAGTTGCTTGATTCCAAACAAATCTCAGATCTTATAGTCTTATAAAGGCTTTACCAAATATGAGTGTAAAGATAAATAGTGAGAAAACTTCCTAAGTACTTAGTATTGTGTCAGGAACACTGAAGGAGTTCAAAATATTTGTCCCCTTCTTTCTACTTGCAAATCTAAATACCAACTTCCTTAAATGTTTGACTGTTACTCTGTACTGGATCAGCTAATCAAATAAGGGGACAGGGACAGTTAAGAACTTGAAAACAAAGTATCAGGATAGGAGTCTGCTCCAAAACTAACAGCTTTTGTGACCTGTGTGAGTTACCTAACCGGGGTGAGGATGTCTTAGCTTCCATAACTAAGAATTGTCACAATGCAAAAAGCTAGTCCATATAAAGCCATTAGCTAGAATTATTTTTACCACTTAAATTATTGCCTTTTTTAATGTTTACATCTCTCTTTCAGGTATTTTTAGAATCTTTCTCTCTCTTCTATTGAACTCCAAGTTAAATGTATACATGTGAAACCGTTATAGTGGTGGAACAATTATGTACTCTGTGGAAAGAAGAATAGCAGGAGGTGGATTAAATGGTATTTTAAAGATCACCTTTCTTTTTTTTGTTTTTGTTTTTGTTTTTGAGACAGAGTCTGGCTCTGTTGCCCAGGCTGGAGTGCAGTGGTGGTGATCTCGGCTCAAGGCAACCTCCGCCTCCTAGGTTCAAGCAAATCTCCTGCCTCCATCTCCTGACTAGCTGGGATTACAGATGCACTCCACCACACTTGGCTAATTTCTGTATTTTTAGTAGAGACAGGGTTTCATCGTGTTGGCCAGGGTGGTCTTAAACTCCTGACCTCAAGTGATCTGCCTGCCTCGGCCTCCCAAAGTGCTGGGTTTAGAGGCGTGAGCCACTGTGCCTGGCCTAAAGATCTCTTTTCTACTTAGGTACTTTTACCTAAACAATAAACATTAGCTATGATCATTTATCTAGTCATTTCCCAATCATTTTCAGGAAAGTTGAATCTGGACTTCTGTACAGAATTATTCAGTGTCTCTCATGCAGTTCAAGAACATTTTATGTAAAGCAAGATCTATCCTTTGAAAATAGTGTTTTACTCTTTTATGAAATAAGTAGCAACATCATTAATTCAGTCACATTAGACATTTGTGATATTATGCGTGGAAGTCAGCTTTTATGTTTTCCATTTTTGTTAATGAATATGTTTATAATAGCAATGAACTTGAAATTAATATATAAAGAGAATAAATACCTTGAAAGTATTTTGAAATATCTACATGCATACAGTTAGTGTAATAAATGTTAAGAACACTTTGTCCATGAAAATTATTCGTCTAAAAATCTCTAAAAATTTGCTTGTAATTTATTGAAGTTACTGTATTGGAAACAATAAAAGTAGAATTTATCAGATTTTCTAATTTATTTTTTCAGTAAGCTTTACATGTGTTTTCTTTTTTTAAAAATATATTATCAAGAATTTTTTTATTATTTACTTTTTTTATTATACTATAAGTTCTAGGGTACATGTGCACAACATGCAGGTTTGTTACATATGTATACATGTGCCATGTTGGTGTGCTGCCCCCATCAACTCGTTATTTACATTAGGTATATCTCCTAATGCTATCCCTCCCCCCTCCCCAGATGTAGTCTCACTCTGTCGCCCAGGATGGAGTGCAGTGGCGCAATCTCGGCTCACTGCAAGCTCCGCCTCCTAGGTTCACGCCATTCTCCTGCCTCAGCCTCCCAAGTAGCTGGGACTACTGGCACCCGCCACCATGCCCAGCTATTTTTTTTGTATTTTTAGTAGAGACGGGGTTTCACCGTGTTAGCCAGGATGGTCTCGAGCTCCTGGCCCTGTGATCCACCCGCCTTGGCCTCCCAAAGTGCTGGGATTACAGGTGTGAGCTGCCGCTCCTGGCTCATGTGTTTTCTTTAAATAAGTTCACTTTTGTAGACACATCCAGACCAAGAAAAACCATATAATTTGTAGTTTATATTCAATAAGCATCATGCGCATGATTAGTTTTTTGATCAATTTTGTCACAATTTTGACACCCAACTTGGTAACCATATAGTATTTACCTGAAAGCACACATTAAAGGAACACACTTAAGTTTGGTCTTAAATTATCAAAAGTAGCAAAATCATATAAGCTCTCCAAAACCATTGATTCCTGCTTTTTGGACTACTGATGTTCATTATCCCACTTCACTGAAAATTATTACAGTCCAAGAATAGATATGAAAACAAAGTTATCTTGATAAATTTACAAGAAAAAAACAACCCCATCAAATAATGGGCAAAAGATATGAACAGACACTTCTCAAAAGAAGACGTTTATGTAGCAACAGACATATGAAGAAAATGCTCATCATCTCTGGTAATTAGAGAAATGCAAATCAAAACCACAGTGAGATACCATTTCATGCCAGTTAGAATGGCAAACATTAAAACGTCAGGAAACAACAGATGCTGGAGAGGATGTGGAGAAATAGGAACACTTTTACACCGTTGGTGGGAGTGTGAATTAGTTCAATCATTATGTAAGACAGTGTGGCGATTCCTCAAGGATCTACAACTAGAAGTACCATTTGACCCTGCAATCCCATTACTGGGCATATACCCAAAGGATTATAAATCATTCTACGATAAAGACACATGCACACATATGTTTATTGTGGCAATATTCACAATAGAAAAGACTTGGAACCAACCCAAATGTCCATCAGTGATAGACTGGATTAAGAAAATGTGGCACATATACACCATGGAATACTATGCAGCCATAAAAGAGGAAGAGTTCATGCCCTTTGCAGGGACATGGATGAAGCTGGAAACCATCATTCTCAGCAAAGTATCACAAGATCAGAAAACCAAATACCGCATGTTCTCACCCATAAGTGGGAGTTGAACAGTGGGAACTCACGGACACAGGGAGGGGAACATCACACACTGGAGCCTGTAGGGGGTTGGGGGCTAGGGGAGGGATAACATTAGGAGAAATACCTAACGTAGGTGATGGGTTGATGGGTGCAGCAAACCACCATGGCACGTGTATACCTATGTAACAAAACTGCATGTTCTGCAAATGTAACCCAGAACTTAAAGTATAATTAAAAAAAGAAAAAAAGAAACTTAGCAAATAAAAAAAATATTGACACAGACAAGAGGGCACGTATGTCTTAGAAGCGAATGAGTCTGCCTGCCTGTCCTGTAGGGCTAGGGTACCATCAGAAACTCAAAGATTCCCAGCCATGCAAGATTTTGTTTAGAGAGGTCTGTGTGTGCCCTGCCCATAGAGGCTGAGGCTCTTCCTCTGTCAAAGCTTCCTTTTTATGTGAATACTTAAGCTGACATCACCATGTACCACCCTCCAGTCACCACCCTTGTTACATTACACCATAATATTCTCTGAAATCCTCAATTCATGGCCAAAAAAAGGGTCCATATATCTTTAGTATGTTCAAGAAATGTTCCCATCTCTTGCCTGATTGCCCAGCCCATGAGTGATAGACTGGTTAAAGAAAACGTGGTCCATATACACCATGGAATACTTTGCAGCCATAAAAAGGAACAAGATCATGTCCATTGCAGGGACATGGATGGAGCTGGAAGCCATAATCCTCAGCAAACTAACACAGAAACAGGAAACCAAACACTGCATGTTCTTACTCATAAAAGGGAGCTGAACAATGAAAGAACATGGACACAGGGAGGGGAACATCACCCACTGGGGCCTGTTGGAGGGGCTTGGGGAGGGAGAGCATCAGGGTAAATAGCTAATGCACGTGGGGCTTAATACCTAGGTTATGGGTAGATAGGTGTGACAAACCACCGTGGCACACATTTACCTATGTAACAAACCTACACATTCTGCACATGTATCCCAGAACTTAAAATTAAAAAAAAAAAAAGTTCCCTTGCCATGGTTGGCTTAGAGCCCACAGTCTTCAGCTTCTCTTATAAGTCTTTCAAATGGGGCCACGCATTCTCTCCTACACCCTCTGCTCCCCTGGGATAGAAGGTGCAACTGCCTGTCTTCAGTCCCCTCAAAATATGTCCAGATTCCTACTCCTCAGTAAAAGCTCTGCTCTGGTTAAATCTCTGCCTTCTGAGATTCATTCTAACTAGTTCCTCATCCCATACTTCACAATGCAGCACTGTGCAACATTCTCAGCCCACCATTTGGGGGAGTGAAGCAGGTATGAAATGTGACAAAGCCTCGTGTCCTTGAAACAATATTTGTTCCAATTTCTGTTAAAGTACAAATATGCCTGTTCTGTCTTTCCCTTTCAAGTGGAACCATTTGAGAACCTCAGTACACATACCAAGTGAAAATGCTTCATATCCATCCACACATTCAAGTGATATTAACTGTGTATTACTATGTTCATAACACCAGTCTGTGTATTGTCAATGCAGTACCCACATTCAACATGTGTCATATCACAGCTGCACCTTTTTCTTCCCAGGTGAGGCCCTCAAATGGTTCCATTTGAAAGGAAAGACGGAGAAGGGTACATTTGTACTTTAACAGAAATTGGAAGAGATATTTTTTCAAGGTTACGAGCCTTTGTCAGAACTTTATACCTACGACTTCCACCCGCTCCAAAAGGTGGGATGAGAATGTTTCCTGGTACTGCGCAGTGGGGTATGGCATCAGGAGCTGCTGAGAATGAATCTCAAAGGGCAGAGATTTAACCAGAAAAGAGCTTTTACAATGGAGAAGAAATCTGGGATGCCTCGTTAAATACAACCTTACAAACAATGGAACGACTTTGGCCTCATGTAGCTTAAATGGGGGGTACGGAATTGGTAATCAAGAATAAACATAAGTCTGGGAGCGGTGGTTCAGGCCTGTAATCCCAGCACTTTGGGAGGCTGAGGCGGGAAGTTCACCTGAGGTCAGGAGTTCAAGACCAGCCTGGCCAACATGGTGAGACCCTGTGTCTATTAAAAATGCAAAAATTAGCTGGGCATGGTGGTGGGTGCCTGTAATCCCATTTACTCGGGTGGCTGAGGCAGGAGAATCGCTTGAACCCAGGAGACAGAGGTTGAAGTGAGCCAAGATTGTGCCATTGTACTCCAGCCTGGGCGACAAGAGCAAAATTCAGTCTCAAAAATAAATAAATAAACAAATAAATAAATATAAAAATAAATAAAATAAGTAAATTATGTAGTATTATGTAGTATATGGACAATTGCTAGTGAAAACAGAAAATGCAGAGCATGCTAAGGAGGGTGTGGAATGAGGATTGAGGGGCAATCATGTTATATAATTAAATAAGAAACACCAGAGTAAGTCTCACTGCAAAGGTGGCTTATCAGTAATGACTTAAAAAAAGGTGAGAGAGATGACCATATAGATATCTTGGGTCACAGAGTTCCAGGTAGAATGAACAGATAGTGCACAGTCCTAAGGAAGCGTGTGCCTGGCAGTTTCCAGAAATAGCAAGGAATTAATGTGGCTAAAATGGAAGGAGAGAGAGAGGGAGAATATCTCAAGTTGTTAAGGAAAGAAGGTTAGGTAGTGTCTTGTAAGTAAGCAGTTTCAATTTCATTCAGTGAAAGGTAGAGCCCTGGAAAGATTTTGATCAGAGATGTGGCAAGATCTACTTTACATTTTAATAAAATTAGTTGAAAAGAATTTAGAGCCAAAGTAGGGAGACCAGGTCACTGTGGTAATCCAGGTGAGAGATGATGGATAGTGGCTCATGTGAAGGTAATGAGAAATATCAGATTTGAAGCTGTTGTTGTGGTTCATGCTACCAATTTTTTTTAAGAATTAAATTTGCTATATAAGAAGAAAAGAAGAGTCAAAAATGCTTTATGAGCAACTGAAAGATGGAGTCATCATCAATTAAAAAAGGAAATCCTAGAGATAAAGCAAGTCTTGTGAGACAGAGTTCAGAATTTTAGTTTTGGGCATGCTGTGTTTGAGATGTCTATTAGAAATTTCTAGAAGTGTTAAAGAGGCAGTTGGACATATGAATTCAAGTTTGGAAAAGAGATCTGGGCTAGACAAATACATTTGGGAATCTCAAACGTATTTGCAATTTAAAGTACAAAATTAGATGAGATTGACGAGAGGGTGTGTAAATAAAATAAGAAGACAAATACCTAATTGGCTATTAGATTTAAGAAAGCAGAGGTCACTCTTGATATTGAAAGGAACAAGTTCAAAGAATGATATGGAAAAAATTAGCATGGTTTAGAAGAAAATTGAAAGCCAAGATTGGAGACACAAATAAAGGAGAGAAAATACATGGCATGGTAACTATCTGGGACCGTGAGATGCTTTTATTAGGATGGAAGAATAACAGTATATTTGCAAAATTTTGTTCTGTTCTTTTTTTTTTAAATTAATATGGTATGTTCCCAAGGGGGAGGGGAGAAAGTATAGAAATGTTGAAGAGTGAGGAGAGTATAGAAATGTTGAAGTGCATTATTAAGTAGGAGAGAGGGGATGGGATCTAATGCAAAGGGACTGATTTCAGTTGGGAGTGTGACGCATGTGAAAATGTCAGTGGATATTAGATATCATGATTCAGTCACTCAGCTAATCTCAGCTAGCCACCATCACAGTTGTTATCTATTCTATTTATTATTATTATTATTATTATTATTATTATTATTATTATTATTATTGAGTCAGAATCTCACTCTGTTGCCCAGGCTGGAGTGCAGTGGCGCTATCTGGGCTCAATGCAAACTCCGCCTTCAGGGTTCAAGTAATTCTCCTGCCTCAGCCTCCTGAGTAGCTGGGATTACAGGTACCCACCACCATACCAAGCTAATTTTTGTATTTTTAGTAGAGATGGGGTTTTGCCATCTTGGCCAGGCTGATCTCCAGCTCCTGACCTCAAGTGATCTACCTGCCTCAGCCTCCCAAAGTGCTGGTATTACAGGCGTGAGCTATCTATTCTATTAAAACAAATTGTTTTTGTTGTTGCTTTTCGCTATGTATTTTAAAATTTGTACCGTAATAGTCTATTGGTTACATGATATCTATGAAACAAAAAATTGTTTTACAATTTGGCACATAGTCATCTGCATGATTTTTTATCTAATACCAGCTCCTGTATTTCTCTCAATGAAACATGATACATCTGGGTGCAGGAGAACAGTTCCATCTCTTAAAGTTGCAAAGAAAGGCATTGTTTTTGTATACTCTCATTTTCAGGTAGTATATTTCTGTTGTGTTTTTTTTTTCATCTCTGAGCTCTTTTGCCAATTTCTTCTTTTTCATTTTTTCAATTCATCTCTCATTTCTTCCAGACTTCAGTTGCTTTTGGCATTTCTCTTATGTATTTTACCAGGTTTATTGAGAGTTAACTGACACAATAAACTCTACATATTTAAAGTGAACAATTTGATTGCTTTTGACAAATTCATATGCCTGTGATATCATTGCCACAAACAAAATAATGAACATATCCATCACTGTCGAGTTTCCTCCTGCCTCTTTGCCATCTCTCCCTCTTGCTCCTTTCTCCCTTCTTCTGCTCCCAAGGCAACGACTGATCTGCTTTCTGTCACTGCAGATTGGTTTAAATTTTCTAGAAGTTTATGTATATGAAGTCATATGTATGTACCTTTTGTGGCTTCTTCACTTAGCATAATTATTTTGAGATCCATCCATGTTGTTGCATGTATCTGTCCTTTTTACTGTTGATTAGTATTTCATTGGAGGAATATATCACGATTTATTTATCCAGTCATCTGGTGATGGACATTTGGGGCAGTAACATTGGGATATTGTTATTTGGCCATTACAAATCAAGCTGCTATGAATATTCATGTGCAAGTCATTGTATGTATACATTCTTTAATTTCCTTGTGTAAATACCTAGTAGTAAGTGGTAGGACCATTTGGTAGCCATATTTTTACCTTTAACTCTCTAACTGTTTTCTAAGGTGGATATACCATTGTATATTACCACCACCGATTTCTAAGAATTTTTGTTGTTACACATGCATGCCAACAGTTGGTATGATGAGTCTTTTTAGTTTTAGCCATTCTAATAGATGTATGGTCATTTCTCATTGTGGTTTTAACTTTCATTTCCTAACGATTAGTAATGTTGAGAATCTTTTCACATGCGTATTTGTCAGCATATATTTGATCAAGGGTCTCTTCATGTGTTTTGTCCATTTTCCAAAATTGGTTTGTTGGTTTCCTTATGGGAGACCATATATTCTGCATATAAGCTCTTTATCATGTAGGTGATTTGCAAATATTTCTTCTAGTCTAGCTTGTCTTTTAGTTTTCTTTTGAAAATGCCTTTTGAAGAGTAGAAATTTTTAATTTTGATAAATGAAATAACTCTCAAGTGTTTTTTTCTTTTATGGATCATGTTTCTGGTCTCATGGCAAAAAGATCTCTGCCTAATCTAAGATCACAAAGATTTCTCCTACACTATATGCTAGAAGTTTTATAGTATTAGGTTTTACACCTAGGTTCTATGACATATGTAGAGATAATTTTTTATATGGTGAAAGTATGGATCAAAGTTTTTTCTTTTTAAGTATGGACATGCAATTGTTCCAAAACCATTTGTGACAATTCTTTTCCCATGGAATTTTCTTTGCACCTTTAACAAAAATCAATTGACCAACTATGTGTCTTCCTGTTTCTAAATTCTCTATTCCATTCTCTTAATCTATTTTTCTATCGCATACAATACCACACTGCATTAACTATTATAGCTTTACAATAAGTTTTACACCAAGTATTATAAGTATTCAAGTTTGTTATTCCTTTTTAAAGTAGTTTTGGATAATCTAGGGCCATTGTAATTCTGCATGAATTTAAGAATCAGCTTGTCCATTTCTGTAAAAAAGACTGTTGGGATTTTGATCAATTTATTATTTGGATCAATTGCAGGAAAACTGACATCTTGATAATATTGAGTCTTCTATTCCATGAGCATAATGTATTTTCTTTTATTTAGTTTTCTAGTTTCTCAGGAGTGTTTCCTGCTTTTTACTGTAAGAATATTGTATATTCTTTGTCAGAATTATCTCTAGTACTTTATATTTTGAAGACTATTGTAAATGTATTTTTAAAAATTCTATGCAGCCATAAAAAAGGATGAGTTCATGTCCTTTATAGGGACATGGATGAAGCTGGAAAACATCATTCTGAGCAAACTATCGCAAGGACAGAAAGCCAAACACCGCATGTTCTCATTCATAGGTGGGAATTGAACAATAAGAACACATGGACACAGGAAGGGGAACATCACACACCAGGGCCTGCCAGGGGGTTGGGGGACAGGGGAGGGATAGCATTAGGAGATATACCTAATGTAAATGACGAGTTAACGGGTGCAGCACACCAACATGGCACATGTATACATATGTAACAAACCTGCACGTTGTGCACATGTACCTTAGAACTTAAAGTAAAATTTAAAAAAAAGTTTTCATAAAAAAATTCCTGTAAATGTTTATTCTATTGTGTAGAAATATATTTCATTTTGGAACATTGACTAGTATGCTGCTGACTTGCAAAGCTAACTAGTTCCAGCAGCTTCAAAGATTCTTAAGATCTACATAGGTGATCATATTGTACGTGAATAGGCAGTTTTATTTATTTTATAACTTAAAGCTACTGATCGATTGAGTGACTGTTGTTGTTGCTTTACTCCATAGGATACAATCTACATTACAATGTTGAACAACAGCTTTCATAACAAATAATTATCAGACCCAAAATGTAGATGATGTTGAAGTTGAGAAATCCTGCTGTATTCCTAGTATGCTAAGAATTTCTATCGGAAAATATACGAAAATTTGAAAAATGCTTTTCTCAATATGATTTTTCTCTTTTAGTCAGCATGAAGCTTTTTTGTCTTTTCTAGTTTATTAATATGTCAAATTTCATTGATTAATTTTTGAATGTTAGACAAATGTTGCATTCCTGGGATAAACCATCCATTGTTATACTATCTTTTATATATTATTGAATTTAATTTGCGGATATTAAGGAAAACGATGTTATGTTCAAAGGGGATAACTGTCTGTTGTTTTATTCTTCTCTTTGTTATTGATTTCTAATTTACTTCCATTATGGTTGGAGAACCTACTATGGATGATTTGAATTATTTTAAATCTGTTGAGTCTTGCTTTATGGCCAATCATATTGTTATTTTGGTAAATGCACTGGAAAAGAATGAATATTATATTTTCCTGTAATGTTTTTATAGATGAGGTATCTGGTCAAGGTCCAGAGAAATAAAATGTTTTCACCACTATTTTGTCAAATAGGTATGAAACAGCATCTATTATACGTGAACTAGGGGAATTTCTTTAGAGAATCCTTAGCTTTAATGGATGCTCACTAAGCAAACTTATATTTTCTTGGAATAGAGGTCTCCTTGCTTTTGCCACTTTAAGCATTATCCAGTTTTAACGCTATAAACCAGTAGGATAATCATTTATATTTTAAAAGTATTAAGTAGTTATTAGCCACATTTATGACAAGTGAATTCAGCCAATTTTTAAGTGTAAACATGTTGGTTTACACATGGGCATCCAAAAAAATCATTATTGTTAGATAAATAATGATTTATTTTCTCCTCTGTGGAAGTGACATCTTAACCATAAGAATCAAGGAATACAACGATAACTGAAAAAGCATAAACAATGCTTTATCAAACTCTTAAAAAGTTCAGTGTTCTCAGTATTTCACTGAACATATTCACATTTCTACAATATTACTTCTACACCCTGGTCTTAATTATCATCTTGGATAAAACAATACACCAACAGTGTTTTCTTTCATGAATTTCAATGACCAGGTTTTCATTTAGTATAAAAATGAAAATTTAAAAAACTTAAAAATTTAACATTTTGTAAATTTACATATCTGATTGTAAGTTGAAGAAAAATATGTTGGGCAGCAAGTAGCAAAAACGTTGCCAAAATTCAAATGTTAGAAAAATTGTTTGAAAGAGTTTGTAAAACATGTGTTATAAAAGATTTCTTTTATCCTTATGCTGGAAGGTTGAATTTCACTACCAAAATAATCCTATTGCGGAATAAAATATAACAGAATTTCCTCTACTTATATTAGTTTTTTGTGGGCCAAAGTAGAGTGTGGATTATATTTGCCAAGTTCTTATGTAGACAAATGAATCACAGAAACACAGTAGCTATTTTATTTGGGGCCTTGCTGAGCTGCAAGTTTTTTAATGAGTTAAAATAATATTTTGGGTCTTGAGTAGAAGGTGTGAACTATCAAAAACACCACATTTGACTTTAAAGTTTAGGACAAAAACAACTCCACATGCAAAGTCAGTTTGAGCAACAGACCCACTGAACTTGGAGATAGAATCCCCTGGGTGATGGTCTCCATAACTGTTTTCTCTGGGTTGTACAACAGTGAAGCCAATCTGATGAGGCTGAAGTTCTTAAGAGAAGACTGTTCTATCACCACCATGCATGCTTGAACACTGTCCTTAGCTTATGTCTGAATAGCTATGCCAAGACGATTATTTCCTTCTCTTCTAGACGAGGGAAGTAACAACAGTGACATTTATTACTCAACGAGAAGAAGATAGAAACCAAAAAACATACGATGTATAAGCGAACAGAATAAGTGAATTAGAGGAAATGTTTTTCTTAAAATAAAATGGGCCAAATAGTTTTATTACCATTAAGCTACTTGCTGTTCAAATGCTGATTAGAAAAGAAAAAAAACAGAACAATTAAATACAGCAGATGTTTTTGAGCACCTACTATGTGTAAGACAGTGTAATTAGGGAGTTTAAAGATAATTATAACAATTAACTTGTCACCTGATAATTTCTATAATTAGACATGCATTATACCCTACAATAATTTGAGATTGTTTTATTTTCCATTTTAAGTACAAGTCATTTCAACATTTTCCCCCAAACCTTCCTATCCTAAGGTCTAACTCTAATGTCTGCTTTTCTGTAAATTCCTTCCCAGTTGATCCAAAAATTATACTTAATTACTCTCTTTTGTATATCCTCTTAACACTTAATTCGTACCTCTATTCAACATGACTCATATTTAGGAAATATTGTAAAGGAGAATACTTAGAAAATATTGTAGGAGAGAATTTCAACAGTTGTATCTAAAGACTGATCTCTTATATTTAAGAAAGTCATTCCTTGCAACTGAGAGAGAGCCTCCGAATGGAAGAAAGCAAATAGATAAGAAAAAAGGGAGCACCTATCCTTCCAGAAAGATGAGACTACTATGTTCTAGAAATCAATGGGGAAGTCACAGTCAAAATCTTAGTTTTTCCTGTAATACAAATATTTGTTACTCTCCTGCATACTAAGTTGAATAACAATATATTTTTTTTCTATTGTGAGCTCAAGGCCATGTTTATTTCTATTCCTAACACTATACTGTGAAGAGCTAGGGAAAGAAGGGACGAAAGGCTACTAGGAAATTACATGTAAGCATTAGTTTAATTAGATTCTATCCCTATCCTGGAAGGAACCAGAATTTTGAGTAGTGGAGGATGCGAAGAGGGTTGGAGGAAAAACAGAGTCTAATTTAGAGCAAGGGGCACATCTGTGCAAGAGGGTCTGTAATGACTTTTGGGAGTTATGGGAAACTGGAGTGAAACATGATGTCACCTGAGGAATGGAAGGCAAAAGTCAAAAATGAGGGATGCTTTGCAACCTTCTCTGTAGTTGACCAGTGTATTACTTTTCTCTTCCCATATCTATTTAGATGCTTTTTCTCTAAGTCCTCTATGCTTGCCTACCAAATTTCTGGTCTTGCGAATATGTCCATTAGTACAGCCATTTCTTAAGGTAAATAGAATAATGAGATTCAGAAATAAATTTACTGCTGAGTTTTTAAAAATTCCTTGAAATGCAAACCACAAAGGAAATGCCGAGTTGCTTCTCTAAGAGGTGGGGGAAATTTTTAGGAGAAGATACTCAGTTTCTGGTTTTTGCTTTCATTCTCTGAAGACATATCTGTGTTTCTTGGCTTTGCTGTGTGTGTGCATCTGTATGTGTGTTTCCAGATACATGTGTAGTATATCCTTGAGCCAGACCACATGCCTGCGAGTCAAAACTTCAGCCTGCATTTGTCTTAAACCATGAAACTCTGGGTGTAACCTAACAGAACCTGGCAGGTTGTCTGAATAGTTGTTTCACCACTTGACCTAGAGTATAGTAAATCAGATGACATATTGTTCCAATTTTACATTAGTACTCATATTTTAATAAGCAAAGGAAGAGTGTGTTCTGTCAAGATTTTTTTGAATACAAACAAAATCTAGCTACAAATCCAAACTATTACAGCATTTCATTTCGGAGTCATGAAATACAGCTTACGTGGTTAAAAACAAATGAAAAACTCTTTATATACAAATATTTTACCATTTGCTATGAGCTAAATTGTGTTCCCTGCAAACTTCACATGCTGAAGCTTTAATCCCCAATGTGATGGTATTTGGAGATGATGCATTTGGGAGACAATTAGATTGAAATGAGTTAGGAAAGAGTGACTCTCATGATAGGCTTAGTGGCTTCATATGAAGAGGAGGAGATCCCAGAGTTCTCCCTCTGCCAGGTGAAGACATGGGAAGAAGGTGGCAGCCTAGAACTCAGGAAGAGGGTTGTTTCCTGGAACTGAATTGCTCACCATCTTCATCTTGAATTTTCTAGTCTCAGAACTGTGAGAAATAAATGTCTGCCCTGGAAACCACCCAGTCTATAATAATTTGCTATAGCAGCCTGAACAGGCTACTACAGCATTTTACATTGAGTTACATTTACAGCAAAACTTAATGCTAGTCCCAGGCACGGTGGCTCATGCCTGTAATCCCAGCAATTTGGAAGGCCAAGGCGGGCGGATCACCTGAAGTCAGGAGTTCAAGACCAGCCTGGCCAACATGGTGAAACCCCATCTCTACTAAAAACACAAAAATTAGCTGAGCATGGTGATGGGGGCCTATAATCCCAGTTACTCAGGTGGCTGAGGCAGGAGAATCACTTGAACCTGGGAGGTGCAGGTTGCAGTGAGCCAAGATCACACCACTGCATTCCAGGCTGGGCGACAGGGTGAGACTGTCTAAAAACAAACAAACCAAAAAACCCTTAATACTAGCAACTCAATGTTTATGAATAATAGTAATAACATTAATAATAGGTGGAATTTGAGGAATTATTTCTTCTCTCTTGCTAATAAATTTCCTGGGGGAAAGTCAATTAAGATGGGTGCTGAAATCTTATCCTTCCAAATAAATATCAGTGCTATGTTTGATGAAAACACGAGCCATCCTCACCTCAGCTATCTCTAAGCAAGATGAATCAAAACATTTTGCATACTTATTTTTGGAAAGGCTTACCATATATTACAAAAGGAAAAAATAAACCCCCTACTTATTTCTCCCACTTTAAAAATGCATCCACTTACAGAACTTTAACTTGCTTATGTCACTCAGCTAGTTAGGGGCAAGACTCTCCGCTCCCGGCACAAGGAAAGATTTTCTAGTCTCCAGGCAGAAGCCTAAGTCTAGCTTATGATATTTTTCTCCAAAATCTTTTGTGTATACTTTGAATTTATTAAGGCTAGATTAGAGCCAAAAGAGGTTTATTTCAAAAGCCAGAAGAGGCCAGGCTCAGTGGCTCATGCCTGTAATTCCAAGACTTTGGGAGCCTTAGGCAGGGGGATAGCTTGAGCCCAGGACGTTGAGGTTGCAGTGAGCTGTGACCATACCACTGCACTCCAGCCTGGGTGACAGAGTGAGATCCTGTCTAAAAACAACAACAACAACAAAACCCCACAAATGCTAGAAGAGGCTTGCTTTCCCTGATTTCTTTTACCTGTCTCTTCCTAGGAGAAATTAGGCCCTGAATTACATAGCTTCATAAGGTGGGATAAGAATAAGAACATGAATGGCAAAACACAGCAAATGTTGTTGTAAGCCTGGTAAGAATTCTGAGAGGAAAGATCTATTAACATATTCCATGTACAGATAAAGTAACTGAGGCTGAATGCTTAACTCACTTGTCAGAGTCCCCACATGGGAAAGTGTGTCAGACTTCAAAGCACAGGCTCTCTCTCTTTCTCTCTCTCTCTCTCTCTCAGATATGTGAGTGGATTCTCACTCTACCATAAGGCTGGTGTGCAGTGGTGCAATCATTCATTGCTCACTGTGATCTTGAACTCTTGGGCTCAAGTAACCTCCCACTTCGGCCTCCCATAGTGCTGGGACTACAGGTGTGAGCCACCAGGCTAAAGCACAAAGCTCTTAACCACTGCCTTTTGGTATGTTTGTGTAATACTTCTTATTATAATTTCTCACCCTGTAGACCCTCATCCCCCCATCTCTAACCTACTGTACTTGGCCATTTGCAAAATTCTTCATGTTAACCCCAAGTATTCCAATGATATAAGTTAAAAGGCAAAAAAGTGAATAAAAGGAATACGTAGTTTAAATTTTAATTATTTTTTAGTTATATTCAAGTTGTTTTTGATAGCATAACCCAATTAAAAAATTTGGAACTAGCCTGTGGAATAATTGTTAGATAAAATGGGAGTATTATTAGTTGAAACGCTATGTGTCATTAGTAATGCTTACATTAAAATACTAATTAACATATGCTGGAGGCCATAAAACCACCATGAAGTAAAACAAACAGTCAAAAAAATTAATCCATAAAGAGAAACACTGGGTAAATATATCAAAATATAACCACGAACAATGTTATATATTGAGTAGAATAATCGTTGTTTTTTTTTGTGTTTTCTAATTTTGAGTATTTCCTGAATTTTTCATTGTGAGAAGACAATACTCCAAAAATGGAAAGACAAAATATATTTGACATGTAGTATATTCTAAAGTAATTAAGATATTTTGAAGCCCCAGTCAACAACTATATCTGTGGTTTCAGGCAAAATAACTTATTTGGACCCCAGTTTTCTCATCTTAAAATGAGTGGGAGGGACTCAATATGAACTACAACTCATATGTAGCATGTTGTAATTTTCATTTACATTAACTTTTGAAATCTCCATAATCATGAAAAGTAGACAATGTTAGCTCAATTTTTCTGGACGAGGAAGTTGAGTTTCTGAGTCCTTGGGAAACTGACAGGTGCTGAGGACCAAGAATCAAAGTCATTTATTTCCAAACAAGATGCTTAAAACCCGCTCCATCATAATTACTTTATATGCTATGATATGGTTTGACTCTGTGTCCCCACCCAAATCTCATCTTGAATGGTAATCCCCATGTGTGGAGGGAGGGACTTGGTTGGAGGTGATTGGATAGTGGGGTTCTCACTGTAGTGAGCAAGTTCTCACAAGATCTGATAGTTCTATAAGTGGCAGTTTTTCTTGCTCTCTCTCTTTCCCACTGCCTTGTGAGGAAGGTACTTGCATCTCCTTCTCATTCCACCGTGACTGTAAGTTTCCTGAGGCCTCCCCAGCCATGTGGAACTGGCAATCAATCAAACCTCTTTTGTTTATAAATTACCCAGTCTTGGTTATTTCTTTATAGCAGTATGAAAATGGACTAATACATGCTATGTCCAAATAATTCTGATGATCTAAGTCCCCCTTTCTTTATGTCATATTCTTGAATATTATCTCTAATTTCCCTCCAATCTGTTTAGATATCACTCATTTGACAGTTATAAAGTGTCAAATTTATGCCAGCAATTTCCAGACTATTTTACTTATTCCTCCAAAGACTTTTTCTTGAACAACCCAGTTCACTGTACCTCCTCCCCATTTTTGATACCCATGCAGTAGGAATGTTAAAGCTTCACATGTTTGCACTACCTTTTACTTCATTAATAATAAGAACTGTATTTTCTGTTAATATTGTATTTTTCTTTTTTCCACTTAAGTACACACACACCCCTCGCTAACTGTAATTCAATAGAAGGCTCAGAACATTGTAATTTGGGTTTTTCAAGTTATATCAATTTGAGGGATAAAAACTGGAACATACTGTTCTGGAAGTCCCACAGCGTGGTGTGTGTGTCCTGCAGACTCTCAGCTCCCATATGGCAGGGACAATTTTCCTTCTTCTCTGCTTCATAAGAAGCAGAGATATCTCTTTGCTCTGCAGACCCTAAGTGGAAGTTAAGGTACTGATCTCTAGGAAAAGCGCCACTGCTCCTGCTGACCAGGCACTGAAAATTCACCGGGTGCTGTTTGCCTGTCATTCGCGTGGCCAGAGCCAGCTGCTGTCAATTCTGAAGCCACTACCTTCTGAGTAGCTGAATCCACAGGACTGACACCAGCAATATTTTGTTGTTAGGCTTCTATAAAGAGCTTGCTTTACATTTTTTAAAAGTTTTACTCTTGCACCACTTCATGAGTCTTTGAGGAATGGAATGGAAAAAAATCTGAGAGATGTTTTGCTGACCATCACATCTGCCCTTTGCAACACTGGCCCACACTCCTCTAACTGATGTAGTACAGCTGACTCTCACTCACCTTTCTGCTGAGGTATAGGAGAATCCTTATCTCTCGCTAATCACTAATTCAATTTTTCAGCACATATTTGTTGAGAGTTCTTTATACACCAGACACTGACCAACGTTTTGATCACAGATCAAAAATGAGGCAAAGTTCCTTCCCCTTTGCAGTTGATATCTTTATTGTATTAAATTAACAGAAGACATTAAGAAAAAACATATATACTAATTAAGATGATAGTTGCTATAAAGAAAAATAAGTCGGGACAAGGGTCTAAATAGTCATGTGTACATCTCTGTGGGTGCGAGTGTGTGTGCTATTTTTCATAGGTTGTCAGGAAGGAAGGCCTCTATGAGAAAGCAACATTTGAATGTAAGTGTGGGGACAGGAGTGTTACAACCAGAAAGAAGCAATTATAGATCTTGTGAGACAAGCTTATCTAGATCTTCCTGCAACTTACGATTAACACACGTTAGGTACAAATGGAATCTCCTGCTCTACCTTGTTTACTGTAATAGTGTACAAAGAAATTGAATAGATATCTCCAGAAAATGTTGACAAGGGCAAATTTTAACACTTAAAAATTAAACTACATTTCTAAACAATTATTCTCTTCATAAAGTGAGCCTCAGGGACATAACTGTTGGAAAGACCCATCTGTCTTCTGAAACTGCCAAAGTGGATGGTAGCAAGATTTAAGTGAGGGCGTGGGGATCATTGCTCATTAAAAAAAAAAAAAAAGAAAAGAAAACAACAACCCTCCTCCAAATTTTATTCACAGTGATTCAAAAATCAGAGATTATCATCTAAGTCATTATGCTGTATTTTGAAGTATATTAATATTTATAAAATGTCTATTGATATTTATAACTCTGATTATCTACTTAATAGATTTTGACCAATCAGTATCCTATATAGTTCCTTTTCAGTCTGATGGAACCAGCCATGCATTTATTTGTGGGTGGAGGTACAGAATTATGTAAGTGTTAGCAAGAATTTTTTAAGCTCTTAACACATTCAGGATGCTATGTCTGTATTGGATGTTGTACAGAGGTTCATCTTAACACCAAGGAGAACAACAAAGAGTCTACGGCCATACCACCCTGAACGTGCCAGATCTTGGAAGCTAAGCAGGATTGAGCCTGGTTAGTATTTGGATGGGAGAACAGCAAAGAATGGTGAACAGCAGCTCCCCCTTGTATACTGATGACAACAAGCTAAGGATAAGCTGTAGATCATAATGAATGAAGAGTGAGAGGCAAACTTCATATACAACACAAAGTGAAGGAAGGTCTGATCCGATTCCACGGAGAGACAAATAACAGTAGGAGATTACACTATGAAAGGTGACAAGGTAAAGTTGGAGAAAGGGAGTGGGGAAATCTAAGGTTAGATAATCACAAGGTTATAATCATGGAGCTGAATTACAGAGTTCAAAGCATTGGTTTAATGCAGCTCAGAGTGGTAGGTGAAAGATGTGTATATTTTTAGAAGTGGTTACTATGCAGGAGGAATGAAAGTCATAAGAAACAAGCTTCTTCATATTCAGTATTTAATTGGAACCTCTCATTATGCCATTAAGAAGGCAATTGCTCTCATCTCCTATTTTAGAAATGATTAGACTGAGGCTCTGAGAGGTTAAATAATCTTTACCCTGGCAGGGTGTTCATGAGTTACAGGGCAATATTTGAACTGAGTTACTTTCCCCCTGGTCAAAGGCTGCTTCCTGCCCCAAGCAGTCTCCTGATTTCAAAGTAATAGGCCAGCCTTGTACAGGGATCTAGAACCATTAGCCAATGGTGTTTTTTTGAAGAGATATTGCGTATCCACATGACATGTTGAAATAACACATGTATTTAGAGAATCTTCAATCTCCTTCCTTTTAATCCTTTGTAACTATGAAGTACCAGGCCATCTGCACTTTAAAATTTGTCTCAGAGCATCCAGTAATCTGTTCCAAAATTACTATATTTTTGGAAAACATATCACCATTGCATATTGTTAGAGACCAGGGAATTTTATGTTAAAATCTGCAAATCATTAACATATTTCTTGTTAAGTAGCCAATATACTGTTTAGGATCTATAAAAACTGGGATTGATGAAATTAATAAGGTTGTATATTTCTGAATCTTTGTCTTTAAGCACATTAAATATGTAGCAAAAAACCATAACAGTACATTAAAAAAAAACCACTAGTCTGCTATTATATTAGCAGAAATTCATGCTAGAAAAGGTTTTACTTGTTTTCAGATCAAGAAAATAAAATCAAAGAAGATAAAATCTCTGTGTGTCTATTAACAGATCAAGAATCACGTTTTGTAGTTGTGTTCAGGTTCTGCCATTCAGGCCCTCCACAATAAACTGTGATCACGTGGGACATTGCATGTTTGCTAGACTTAATCATTCTAACACATAGCGTATGACTCTCACTGAGTGTTCTTTCATGATTTCTGTAGCATGGTGAAACACTGAAAATGTCTGAAATGCAGCTGAGAATCCCACATAATATATCCAAAAAAGTACAAGTTGTTTTATGCTATGAATCAATCTCAAGTCTTAAGGTTTCAGTGTAAAAGCTGACATGGGCTACGAGACAGACACAGTTAGGTAAAGGATCAGTGCAGAGTGACAGTAACTGTTGATGACAGTGATAATAACTAGGATGATAAGAATACTAATGGTAATAGTAACAACAGCTAACTCTTTTTTTTTTTTTTTTTTTTTTTGAGACGGAGTCTCTCTCTGTCACCCAGGCTAGAATGCAGTGGCGCGATCTCGGCTCACTGCAAGCTCCGCCTCCCGGGTTCACGCCATTCTCCTGCCTCAGCCTCCTGAGTAGCTAGGACTACAGGCGCCCGCCACCATGCCCGCCTAATTTTTTGTATTTTTACTGGAGACAGGGTTTCACTGTGTTAGTCAGGATAGTCTACGATTTCCTGACCTCGTGATCCGCCCACCTCGGCCTCCCAAAGTTCTGGGATTACAGGCGTGAGCCACCGCACCCGGCCAGCAACAGCTAACTCTTGAGAGGTTAATACGTTCCACGCTTTGGGCTAAGCAAATTACATCCATTACTTTATGTAAACCTCACAAAGTCTCACTGAAGTAATAATAAAAATAATTACTAATGCATATTTACTTTGTGTTGAAACTTCACAGCATTATCTCATTTAATTCTTACAAACTATCTGAGGTTCTGTGGAGAAATAGGCCTTCTTAAATACTGGAAAGTGGGAGCAGAGATAATATGACGACCACCTGAGCTTTCATGCTGTTTTTCTCCTCTAGGTGAGCAAGGGGACCCTCTGATATTGAGTGTGGCTCAAGCACTTGGAGAATCCAATGTTTATAAACTTTCGTGTAAATGGGAAAACATTTATTTTGGTTAGTCACTCCCAAAATAGTGGTGCCAGCACTGAGTATAAAAAAAAAAAACAGCATCTCGAATATTTCAGATCTGGTGAGACTGTATTCTTTACAGATGGTGTCAACAACAGCTGTGCGCTCCTCCTAGGGACTTCGAAGACGAGCAGATATGATGCCGAGATAAGCTGTGTCTCCTCTTGTTCTGTGTGGCTCGGTTCTTTGGCTTCAGAATTTTTGTTGTGAGTCTTTACCCAGTTAAGTGAGGAGTTTACTCTATCTGGGTATGTGTGGTGTATCAGTGGGTGTGGCTTCATTTCAGCCAGTAATCCTCCTGAAACACTATAGTAGGGTGGGATGAATATTCCGGTTTTACAGATGGAGAAACAGATGGACTTAATGTCATTATGTATCTTGCCCAAAGTCACTCAGGTAATAAGTGGTAGAAGCAGATTTCAAGCTCAGACTGCTGACTCCAACTCTTCACTTACAATAACCTCACTGTATGTGAGCAAAATATTGCTTGAAGAAATAGTCCTCTCTACTATCCCACAGTTCGGCAGATAGTAATGTCGTAAATATCTTTTTCCTTTTCCCTATAAAAGTTCATCTAATACAATTTTTTCTATCTTTGCATTTTTCTCTCACTCTTAAAATACGTGGCAGATTAAAAACCTGTCATCATTTTTCTATTTAGTCACTTAAATTATTTTGATCTTCATAGATAAGACTGAATCCTTAAATCTTTGTAAAATATTATTATTTTGAATAATTTCACATTCTCCTATCACATTTGGTCATAATCACTTTTTATCTTGATTATTGGCAATATTTAATTCTGCTTTTTTTCAGTAGATCTGCAAATTGTATGTATGTGTGTATGTATGTATGTATGTATGTATTTATTTTGACACAGAGTCTCGCTCTGTTGCCCAGGCTGGAGTGCAGTGGCGCAATCTCAGCTCACTGCAAGCTCTGCCTCCTGAGTTCACACCATTCTCCTGCCTTAGCCTCCTAAGTAACTGGGACTACAGGTGCACGCCACCACACCCAGCTAATTTTTTTGTATTTTTGGTAGAGACGGGGTTTCATCGTGTTAGCCAAGATGGTCTCAATCTCCTGACCTCGTGATCCGTCCACCTCGGCCTCCCAAAGTGCTGGGATTACAGGCGTGAGCCACTGCACCCGCCGCGAATAGTATTTTGGTGAAAGCTTAGAGCAAACCAGCAAGCTGAGAGCTCCTTTAAGAACAGGAGGCGCAGTGCCCTTTTTCCAATCTACCCCTTGAGGCCAGGAGCTTCTGTCCCTCACCAGCAACTGATGTCAGGAGTTGCCCAGGGAAAGTGTTTCTGGTTAAGATTATAACCTGTGCAGGTGGGCATGTTTGTAGCTTTTATTCTGTTTTTGTTCCTGAAGATGAGGCATTAAGAAATGTGTGTGTATGTGTGTGTGTGTGTGTGTGTGTGTGTACATTTTATAGTTTGAATGTTGAGAAAATTTCAATGTTGAGTCAATTATTTCTAAATATTGAGAAGGGTGGGTGTAGGACAGAAGAAACACTCCAGGAAGTGCTGATTCAATTATTTTACTTTTCTTGAGCAATTCTAGAATAAGCTACAAAACCTTTTCAATGCAGCAGTGAAGAGAAGGGAGACGTTATCAAATTGACACACAGGCATATTTTAAAAACTCTGGAGACAGTTCACAGAGATGTGTGCAGCACAAAACAGAAATAAATAGAGCTTTACAAACCTAGTCGCAAAAGACTTTGAATTTCAAGTAATCACATAGATTCTGAGAATGTGCTGATACTCTATCAGTCCTGATGAAAGGAAATTATAATGGGATGGCAAGTATGGGATATTGAAAAACACAGGTATCAGAAATAAGTCAATAAATAGGTGGTCCACAAACCAGCAATGGCTGGTGAAGATCTGGTCAAAATTCATTATGATCATTTCCATGGTCTCAGTTAAGCATTTCACTCCAACTTTAGTAAAATACTGTTATGTTTAAAAATGGGCTTAAATTTAAACTAACCGTTCATATTTTCTATCCCACAGTAAAATTTTAATCCTTCTTAATGGATTATTTTTGTGGTCTTTATGAAATTCCAGTTTTAATGAACCTCTTTAGATATTATTAAGGAGAGGTTATTAACGTCCGATATTAAACAGAAAACCCCCACTCAGAATTCCAGTTCATGAACTGAATAAACCAGACAAGTGCCATCTCTTACAAAATGTGTCTGCGCAGACTGTAGGCTTTGGTTATATCACATGTTTCCTACAAGTATTGTTCAAAAAGCATGCATTCAGATCAATCAATTTCCTATTATCACCAAAATGTTTATTGGATCTGAAGTATGGCACTAATTATTTCTGAGATTAGTAATGAGGCTGTGAAGACAAGAGAAAAACCCCAACCAGTTGGTCACTGAAGCCTTCGACATGGCAATCACTCATCTGGGGATTTGTTCAAGTAGCTATCTACAAGCATGGTTTTGAATGTCAGGATGGACATGGGTCACAGAAGGACACCAGAACAGGAGTTCAGATTGTCCTCTCAAGACTCTAGCAAAATTCGTGCTACTAGTTTTTATATCATAAATGCAGGTTCTTGACTGTTAAGCCATACCACAATTCTCTCTGAGAGACATGTAGCTGATATTCTACACTACTTTGCTATCATAGGAACTATTTAACCAGCTAATTCTATTTCTTCATTAGCTCTATTGAGTTATAATTTACATACAAGAAAATTAACCAATTTTAAGTGTACAATCTGTTTTTGACACCTGTCCAGATCATTGTGCATGGAAGTTGTTCAGACTTTTTATTGCTGAGTAGTATTCCACTGTGAGTCTACCACAACCTGTTTATACACTCACAGGTTGGCGGGCATTTTGATTGTTTCTAGTTTTTGGTTATAACAAATAAAGCTGGTATGAACATTCACATACAAGTCTTTGTGCAAAGATGTGTTTTCTTTCTCTTAAGTAAATACCTAGAAATGGAATTCCCAGGTTATATGATAAGTGCATATTTAATTACGTAAGACACTGCCAAACTGTTCCAATGTGGCTGAACTATTTTTCATACCCAGCAACAACAATCTCTGAGAGATCCACTTGCTCTACATACTGGAAATACTTTTAACTGTAGTCACCCTAGTAAATGTGTAGTGTTATCTAATTGTGGTTTTAATTTTCATTTTTCTAATGATTTTGGGAATCTTTTTATGGATTTATTTATTTATTGAGCCGGGGTCTCACTCTGTCGCCAAGGCTGGTGTGCAGTGGCGCGATCTCGGCTCACTGCAAGCTCCGCCTCCCGGGTTCATGCCATTCTCCAGCCTCAGCCTCCCGAGTAGCTGGGACTACAGGCGCCTGCCACCAAGCCTGGCTAATTTTTTGTATTTTTAGTAGAGATGGGGTTTCACCGTGTTGGCCAGGATGATCTCGATCTCCTGACCACGTGATCCGCCTGCCTCGGCCTCCCAAAGTGCTGGGATTACAGGCATGAACCACCTCACCCAGCTGATTTATTTGAAGTTTATGTATATTCTTTGGTGTAGTGTCAATCAAATATTTTACCCAATTTTCTACTTGGGTTTTGTGTTTTCCCAGTGAGTTCTTACAACTCACTGGATATAAGTGCTTGATCAGTATTTATTTTGCAAATATTTTCTTCCAGTCTGTGGTTTTTCTTTCATTTTCTTAAGAATATCTTTTGAGGGGCAACTGTTTCTAATTATGTTGCAGTCCAGTTTAACATTTTTTATCTTTTTCGGATTGGAATTTTTCTGTGCTGTCTAATAAATGTTTACTTAATTCAAGACCACATTATTTTTTGTTTGTTTCCTTTCAGAAGTTGTATACCTTTAGCTCTTATATTTTGGCCTGTGTTCTATTTAGAGACTGTCTGTGGTATAAAGAGCCAAGATTTTTTTATGCCTATGTATGTACAAATTTTCCAGTAGCAATTGTTGAAAGGACAATTCTTTCTTCATTGGACTGCCTTTGCATTTTGCTGACATTAAATTGACCATATGCGTAGGTCTATTTCTGGGCACACTGTTCTGTACCATTGGTCTATAGATCTGTCTTTTCAAATATACCCACAATGTCTTGACTATTGTAACTGTATATTAAGTCTGATTTTTTTTTTCCAAAAATTGTTTTGGCTAATCTAGGTCCTTTGAATTTCCATATAAATTTCAGAAACTGGTCATCAATTTCTTTGAAAGAAAGTCTTGGATTTTGATCGAGATTGATCAAATGTCACCTCAACACTATTGACCTTCTGATCAATATACATGGGAGAGCTACACATTTATTTAGATCTTTTTAAACATTTAGCAATGTTTTATAGTTTTCAGTTTGTAGGCCTTACATAATTTTTGTTAAATTTATCCATAAACGTTTTATATTTTTGATGCTTTTTCTTGATTTCAAGTGTTTTTGGTTGTATGTAGAAATACGAATTGAGTTTTTTATATTTATATTGTAATTTGAGACATGGTTAAATCAGTTATTGGTTCTAATAACTTTTTTGTTGATTCCCTATGAGTTTTTTACCTAGATAATTACGTAGTCTATTACTGAAGATAGTTTTATTTCAGTATTTTGGCAAATGTTTTTCTGCACCTACTGAAATTATGATATGATTTGTCTTCTTTTTATCACTATTATAAATCACATTGATTTATTTTCTAATTATAAACTAGCTTTGCATATGGACAAACCCTATTTGACAGTGATTTTATAAATTAACTATGAAAAGGGTCAATTTTGCTTGTTCCAGTGATTAGTAAACCTTGCATATTGTTGGTATTTAGCAAATATTTATTTTAGAATAAATATTCAATTTAAAATATTCAGTTTAGTCAAATTCACAAAAATAATGCAAAGTAGGAAATCTTTTTTTGTATTGTTAGCCATAAAAATAATACAACTTTGTAGTCTTTCGTGAAGTAGTGCCTTGTGCTAGAATTGTGATATTTGTATTGTCAGTTTCCTTAAGTTCAGAAGTAGATAGTTTAGACCTAATAGCTAGTGCAGTCATCTGGTAAAGAATTTTAAAATGTGTCTTTTTGATATAATGACTTCTTTTCCTTTGGGTAAATATCCAGTAGGAGGATTGTTGGATCAAATTGTAGATCTATTTTTAGTTCTTTGGAAACCCGCACATGTATGTTTATTTCAACACAATTCACAATTGCAGAGATATGGAACCAACCTAAGTGCCCATCAACCACTGAGTGGATAAAGAAAATGTGATACATATCTATAAATAACACCAAGAAGATGTGTTTTATATTTATATATATACCAGAGAATATTACTCACTCATAAAAAAGAACAAAATAATGTCTTTTGTAGCAACTTGGATGAAGCTGGAGGCCATTATTCTAAGTGAAGTAATTCAGGAATGGAAAATCAAATACTGTATGTTCTCATCTGTAATTGGGAGCTAAGCTATAGGTATGCAAAGGCATACAAAGTGGTATAATGGACTTTGGAGACTCAGAAGAGGGGAGGGCGAGTGGGAAGTGAGGGATGAAACACTGCATATTGGGTACAATGTACACTACTCTGGTGACTGGTGTAGCAAAATCTCAGACTTCACCATTACACAGTTCATCCATGCAACCAACAACCAGTTGTACCCCAAAAGCTATTGAAACAAAAAAATACAAAAATTTAAAAAAATAAAAATGAACAATTTGATTAAAAATAAGCTTAAAATGATAAAAATAATGGTTTTATTATTCATTAGTTTTATATTAGCATTGCATCCCATGTATAATATATATAGTAAACAATGCACATAAAATAATTTTTCTCTCTCTCTCCTCTCTTTGTCATTCTCTCTTACACACACACAAACACACACACACACACACACACACACACAAATAGGAAGTAACTTACTAGATTGGTCACTTAACTGACAAACCCAATAATTTGCAACCCAGAGACCAGAAGGTCTTGGAGCAGCCAAAATAAACATTTTTATCAGTGATTGTTCTCATATCTTATTACCTGTGGTCTTATTACTCTAATTTAAATAATACATACATAGTGTAATTGTTTGGATCAATTTGGTTATGAGGTTAATCTGTACATAGAAGATTAAACACAGTACTTTGGTCTGAGAAAATGAACTTTAGTGAGAGGTGCAGAGATGGGAGGATCTGAGAGCCTACAGCGTGAGGGGAGAGATTACAAAGAACAGACAAAAGAACTGAAAAGTGTAGCAGCTGGGGCTGCTCCATTACATACTGTTGTGCATGATTCATGCTCTTGAGAGTAATCATAGAACTTTAGCACAGTCTAATAGCCTGTGTTCGAGATGAAGAAATGTAGTCATTAAGAATAAGTTAAGTCCGATCGGTATATTCTGTTTAACAAGGCATGAAAATATACAATCCATTTTACACAACTGTCCATTAAAAAAGCTAAAAATATTTTGTAAATTTTGGGAGTAAGCTTCATTTCTTTTGGGAAATTCACTTCCAAAATATGATTCAATGTCTCTTTGTTCTATAATGCTGCTTAAATAAAGAATTTGATCTATCCGTGAACAGTTACCACTTAAGAGCCACAGTGAGTACTCTGCCACCTTCAGGGGGGCACTATTTACATAGACTCCAAGTTTAATAGCACCCCCCCTGGAACTGTGCAGTACTGCAGCCCTGTCCACAGGGGCTGGGTTTTTGTTTATATTTTCGTCGTATCCTCAGTGCTAGAACATAGGCACATAGTAGGCATTTAATAAAATTTTAAAATTAACTATGAATAAATACATATGTAAATAAATTTAAACTGCAACATTTATGAACAAAATATTTGAGTTCACAAAAGAACTAACATTGCATTTAAAATTTTCATTTTTAATATGAACAAAACATGGATATCCTGCTCAAATTAGAGCATAATATTTTATGGAAAGGTAATAGGGAGAGGTCTATAATGTAAAGATCTTATACTATATATATATGCTACTATATATATATATACTTTAAATATAATATAAAGTAAAGAAGAGAACTTGGAAAGCTCCAGCTGCATAAATGTCAGGCAGGAAAACTTAGGTTGTTTCCCCTAAGTCATCTTTGCCGGCCAATATTCACCTTTTCTTTCCTGGCCAAACTGGGCCCCAGAGTAGCTTTTTCCATGTCCAAATTGGATCATGATGCATTGTATGACAAGGTTTACTCTTCTTATTCTCTGCTCAGTCAATTGTAAATTGAATTCGTGGTGTTGTTGAACTCTATTTGTGTAATATACTTTGTCAGTTCTAGTTTAATACCATATAAAGAGAACATTTAGCCAGATGATGATACTAATAATGACAAAGTATTGAATTTGGAATCTGAATATTAGAATTCTACACCTGGCTGAACCATTTGTGCTAAGATAAATGACATAGTTGAAAAAAACAAGACTTTCTATTTTCCTATCTTTTGTTTGTGATGTTTAAAGAAATCTTAGAATTATTATATCATTATGGATAGCAATTAAAGAATTTGGAATCCAATGTTTTCATATTTTATGATGATGCATAAAACGGTAAGAAGCCTATCACGTTAAAAATTAACTATTTTTGCAGCCTTAAACATATTACTATTTTAAAGCCCACTGGGATACCAGCCAAGCAGAATAATTCACAAGTTATTAGATACGTGCGTTGGCTTCCAGGATATGTTAAAGAGAATGGGGAAGTGGATTAAGAAAACAATCTTTTATGCCGTCTTGGAATTCTTATCTATTATAAAGTCAAAAAAAGTTTTTAAAATCTTGTAAGGGATATGCTATTTATAGGGCTCATGGTCAGTTTGCTGGATGTAATGGTTTTCTCATATTGGTCATTAATCTTTGTTTCAGCAATAATCACAGACCACTATAAATTCTAAATACTCATGGAATTTTATGGTCTGAAATTATTCTTCAATTTAATGTCCAAGCATTAAAAATAGACCAAGATTTCGGTAATTTGTTTTCTTTTAATCAGTTGCAATGTCAAATATTTATGAATCGCAATCTTGAAAAACTATTTTAATATGATGAAATATTTTAGAACCCTTTAAAAAGCCATAACAGGATTGGATTGCATCCTTTATATTGAACTTAACAAAGGAAATTTTTCTTTAAAAAAGCACATTTATCTACAAATTTTACAAGATCATATTTTAGGTGCAACTTGAAGTCACCTTCCAGATGTCTTATTTACAGAATATGACTGGTTTATCCATGAATCACCAACATGTCATTCTGCTTCGCATTGAAGTTTTATGTAAATGAAGGAAAAACCAGGGCCCTCTGCTCTCTTGGACCTTTTATTCCAGAATTCACTCAGTCCATAGAGAGTGATGGTGAAAACCAGCGTTAGAGGACAGGCCATGCTTGCAACAAGCTCAATGTCTTAGTAAATGGCTCTAAGCATTCTGGAATATTATATCCCAGATTTAGACTTCTTTCTATTTTCTGTATTTCACTCATCAATCACGGTTTCTGTCATAACTTGGCAAGAGTCTCTAGAATGCTGTATATTGTTAAAACAATCCTACATTTCCTGAAGTAGACATTTTATGTATCCTAGAGTGAAGAAGTCTTTGGAGAAGTTCTTTCTTCTTGAATTAAGTTGTATATATAAAAAACATAGACTTAGTTTAATTACAATCATATGTTAAATGTCTATGATATAAAATTCCTGAAAATATTTTGATAAATCAACTATTTTTATTGCATGCGACTGCTTGATTTAAATGATGTGGAAAATTTCACACTATATGATGGAAAGCTTATGAAATGATGGAAGAATTATCTTGTATGAAGAACAGTTTAATTTATTGGGAAACAATAGTATTTTCAATTTAGAACTCATAATAAACAACTGAACAATTTTTTTATGACCTTCTGAATATTTTTAGTAATTATTACTGAAAAATTATTAATATTTTCATAGCTTTTTGCATAAAACTCAAAGCCTTTAGCATTATATCAAATGACCGTCATATAGACTTGTGTAAGAGGGGTTCTCTTGTAATGGACTCCAAACACAGAGGGCCACTCATATCACGAATCACATTTAATACATGTATTAAAGAAGAAAATGACTGCCTCTGTTACTCACCCAACACAGTCTATAACCAGAAATGTCACTGTCTTAAGGGATACTCTTCAGGCACCAGGATAATGATTCTCTACATTTCTTGTTCTCTGTCCTCAAACAAAAGGTGAGTATATGCTATTGCTCTCAATGTTATAAAGGTGTATGGGTTTTGCCTCTGTCGGCAGCAGAGACAAACACAGTTTATGCATTAAGAAGGCAAATTTGTCAAGGTTAGAAAATACAACATCATTTTATCTAGCTATTTGTTAGCTCGACTAATAACAAAATATTTAACCTCTATCTGCACTCATCTATCAATCCCTAACTTCATATCCCTGCCTACTCTTTCTAATCTCTTCTCCCAACTCCTTTCTCTAGAGACTTTGTTGAATCATTTTGAAATACTTTCTGTTTTCTAAAACACACTTATCTTGCACCCATTTCACGCGTTTCCTTTCTTGGAATCTCTCTTTTTTCTTGTCTTCCGGATGAAATTGCTTCATCTTCAAAATTCTGTTCAAGTTTAACACCTTTAAAAATTATTCTCAACCACCTATAGTTCTACATGCATGAATTTAAAAATAGCACTTAAAATATTGTAATTATCTCTGTATCTATCAGAATCTCTTTTCAAACCCTGAGTTATTTGAATGCAAGAGTTACGTTGTTGAAGGAATATATAGTGCCTAATGCCGAGAACATAGTAAGAATTTAGTATGTTTGTTCTAGCACATAGTAAAAGTTCAATATCTTGTTGTTCCTATTGTTAGTTCTTCAAGTTAAAGTTAACAATCCCACGCCTACCCGACCCTACACCTCACTAGGTTAGCTGAATGTTACATGTTTCTATGGCATTATGTACTTGGATATTGTCCATTTGTAACGCTCACAAACTTGACCGATATTTATCTTTTGGTTTATATCTTGTTCATTGCTGTGTACTACACACCCCAGTATTAAATTGAATTAATGAATTAGTTTCAGGAGGTGAAACAGAGGTGGAATTTGGAGAGATATGCCATGGGTCTGCAATAGTGAAGTAGGTATGCAGATGATAAATAACAATAATAATTTTTAAATAAATGAATAAAGCTACAAGGAATATTTCTATGGTTTGAATGTCTGAAAATTATGCTAAAATTTAATTGCCACTACGTTGTTAAGAGGTGGGACCTTTAATAGACTTTAGGAGACTGTCCTTACCCTGATCAGCTCTCATATGGATTTGGCAATTCTACGGATTTAATTGACATCGTAACTTAAGAGCACACCTCTTTTTGATAACATAGAGATATATCTCTAAGACCACCTGTTAATAAACATCAAGATAGCCAGTAAAGAAACAAAATCAAGCTTATTTGGGTTGGTATTATTGTTGATTAATTTCTTAGCTGAGCCATAGGGAAGATCACTTACATTTCTGACAACAGAATTTCTCTTTTTAGAAAATACTGCTCTGGGCTCCAGAAAAATGTTGGCATGAATTCAGTGGAAGATCAATTATAATCACTGAATTTCAGTGAAAGGATTCTTCTCTCTTTTGTACTTTGTCCCCTCAATTTATAAAATATAAGACATTTATCTTATTTTTAAACATTTTTCCTTCCATTACATTTAGCCATAACTGACCAACTATATTAAAAGTCAGGAAATGAGTCTCCACCTACAGATGACTTATTTTCTTACTCTGGGGCTGGCAAAAATTAGCAGTGAAAACACAGGAAGGAAATAACATCTTAAGTAGAAATTAAATCAGGTTGCTCAAGTCAGTTAGGAGGCAGTATTCACTGCTGAATAATCAGTCTTAGCGAGGTGATACGTCCATGAGTAATAGAAGAAATCAGTGAATGGCAAGTAAAACAATTGTATGAAAAGAAACTTAATACTTTAAAAAAAGTATTTTCTTTAGGAGCTCATTATCCCAAGGAAAACTACAAGCTGTATTAGAAAGCACTTCCATTTGAGTTGAAAAGTATTTCAAAACACTCTATAAAGCTCTAGATAAGGTAAGCAAATTTAACTGCTTCAACCCTCCAATTACATTTTCACCATCTGTGCTTCCACATTTTCATGAAATACCCCAGTGAGATGACACAGAAACATTGCTGTGTAACTAACACACATAACATAACTCATGTATGTGACACAACGAATCCAAAAAAAGCTGATACATTAAAGAGCAGAGGAATTAAATTTTTAAACCCTGTTAAAGGATGTGGTAGAAAAAACATCTGGAAAAGAACAGGTTGATTGAAATAGGCCTGCCTGGCTTCAGAATTGGAAGGTCATGCTAAACTAATCTCCAGAAGAACTCTGAGGGTGTTACTGCCAAAAAAGACAAAAGTGGCTCAGGCATGTCATGCATTTGGATTTTCAAGGATCACATGAAAATTCTAGAGCTTAAAGAGATGGTCTAGCAACATGTTACCCTTTATTTCTATCCTTTCCACTGTTTTCAAAAGTGGCTCTCCGGCTTGTTTACAAACTACACGTGAATAGGCAGAAACAGTTAAATTCATTTAGGAAATATTTGTTGTGCTTATATGTGAAAGGCAGGTACTGAAATTGAAGAAATCAGTGAAGTATCTTCATCCTTGAGACTCCCAGACTCTAGTCTGAGAAACAGGCAACTATCCTTACAATAGGCTAGAGAGACATTGATATGGTTTGGCTCTTTGTCCCCACCCAAATCTCATCTTGAACTGTAATGCTCATTGTCAAGGGAGGAACCTGAGGGGAGGTGATTGGATTATGGGGGGCAGTTCCCCCATGCTGTGCTTGTGATAGGGAGGGAGTCTCGAAAGATCTGATGGTTTTAAAAATGGCAGTTTTTTTCTCTGCTCACACTGTGCTTCTCTCCCCTGCTGCCATGTGAAGAAGGTCCTTGCTTCCCCTTTGTCTTCTGTCATAATTGTAAGTTTCCTGAGGCCTCCCCAGCCATGAGGAACTGTAAGTCAATTGTACTTCTCTTCTTTATGAATTACCCAGTCTTAATAGTATCTTTGTAGCAATGTGAGAAGACTAATACAGAATTTTTGCATGGTCTTCTTGAGCTATATACAGGCAATTCGAATTTTAAAAGTCAAAAGGAAGGTAAGTCTCACTCATACCCCATAGTAAAGAAATATATACGGAGGCATATGGTTTTCTGCAGGAGCATTTTGTATAAGTAGAAAAGAAATAAAATAATAGAATCTTAAAACAAAATATCATTATGTATATTATTTTAGCTCTTTCCAGAGCAGCTTGTGTTATCTTTAATTAAAGCTTAAACACTGCTGAATGGACGAATCATTTAAGAAGACCAGTTACTGCAGTTACTACTGGAATCAAGCTACATGTTCCATATTAAATCACGGAGCTGTATGGCTAGAAAGAGTCTCAGAAAACTCTGGCTCAGATTCTTGAAGTATCTTCCTTAGAACAGTAGCCCTTAATGGTGCTATTAGCTACGATTAAAAAAGAATAATCATGTATGGTCAAATAGCCTAGAAATCAATGGGTTAAATGAAGTTAAATATGTTTTTCTCTTGCAAGAATTCTCAGTGAGTTTACTCTACCAATGTGTATTTTACTTTCCACAAAAAGCACATTTAACAGCACTCCTCAGATTTCTTTAAACACACACACACACACACACACACACACTTTTTTTTTTTTTCCAAAGAACACTTTGTGAGGAATATTCATTTGAAAACTCTTTGGAAAATATTACCTTAGCCAAAATCCCTTACTTTGCAAAACTATAATTAATACTTGGTGAGTTAAATGATTTACACAGAAAAGTCAGTTGTAGTCGGCCAAAACAAAGAATGTAGCTTTTAGATGTTCAATCTAGCATGCATTGTTCTAAATCACAGTCTTCAGTATGTGCACACATATCTCTGGGAGTACATAAAAATTTTCCAGATATATGTGGGTTCAGACAGTTTTAAGGGATCTAGTTCTAGATTTTGAATTTTTATTATGAATTTCCATATCTCTGTTTCCTAAAACTAATTTGCCTAAGAACGAGTCTATGGGTTGATCATGGGTGAAGGATTACTCTCTCTTTCCCTCCAACCTCTTTCACAATAGCATTTTCCCCACTTAACAAATAATCTCTCATTCATCTGCAGTGTTACTAAGGTGCATTGCTCTCAACTATAAAACTTCTGGAGTGCTGCATAAGGCATGTTAAGGTCCTTTGAGAACAAATCAAAGAGAGGTTCAGTATGAAATGATTGAAGGTGAGACATCTTATTTTATCTAGATGAAAAACTTTTGGCAAGGCAAACATATGTATCTATCAAACATATGTAGTTATATCTATCAAACATATGTTTCTATATCAAACATATGTATCTATCAAACATATATGTATCTATATCTAGGTATATATCTAGACAGGTATATATGTGTATGACAGGTATATATATGCACCTCTAGACAAGTGTGTGTATATATATATATATAGACAGGTATATATACATATATATATATATATGTACCTCTAGACAGTATATAGGTATATATATGTACCTCTAGACAGGTGTATATGTATATGTGTGTGTGTGTATATATATGTGTGTGTGTGCATATATATGTGTGTGTATATATATATGTGTGTGTGTATATATATATATACACATATATATATATACCTCTTTCTCTCTATATATATGTATGTACCTGTCTAGAGGTGTATATATATATATATATATATATATATATATCTGTCTAGAGGTACATATATATATCTGTCTAGAGGTGTATATATATACCTGTCTAGAGGTGTATATATATACCTGTCTAGACAGATATATATATATATACCCCCATACCTGTCTACATATATACCTATATACAAGGTAGAACTTGGAAGTGAAATAATTCTAAAGGAAGCATATTAGCATGTTTATTGGATCTGACTGATTGGTTAATAATGAAAATTGGATTTGCCAGTAAATTATTTATGGACAAAGTTTTAATAAATTGAATAAGCTAAATTTTCAGATTCAATATTTTGATGAAAATAAATAAAAATATATATACAATAAAAAACTAGAAATTCTATCATTCCCAACTATTTAATCTTATGATAGAAGTATCAGCTGTAACCTTAAAAACATGAGTGAATATATATTTTTCCAAAGTTCTGTTGGGCAGTTATATAAATGACTAATTAAAGACCACTGTTCTATACTATGTACTAGAAATGTGTTCATAGAGTATTAATTTCTGAGAATATTAACAATGGAATAAGAGAAAAGCAACAACAAAATTACTACAGGAAAATGTTTTTTAAAGGGTTTTGTCATATTTTTTAAATGCAAGAAAATGAGACTGAACTTTGTATTTTTTTATTTTTTGAAAAACTCACATGTATTGTCATATTCTCTTATTAAAAGAAAGTACAAAGTCTAAGTGAAAGAAAATGATCACAGAAAACACATAAACTAAATCTTTTCTAGAGAGCATTAATATGTATTTCACAATGAAGCTTCTTATTTGGTACATTAGAAGAAATTATTTAATTTTATGGAAAAGCAGTATGTTTGGAAGAAATTTAGCTTTCATTGGTTAATCACAGAATTAGGAATAGGAATATTATACTAAAAGCTTGTTACTTCAGCTTACAAAATATTAGTTTCATTAATGCAATAGTTATCAACACACAGAGACTGCAAACACACCTAAACCTTGACAGCATTGGTCACTAGTGTGCTATTGATTGCTAATTATCAATAAAGTAACATTTATAAGTCATTATATTGACAAATACCTGCCAGCTGTCATATATATATATATATATATATATGTATATATATATATATATATATATGTATCACCTTTCTTCTTACTGTTTTAGATGAACTTTCTGTGCTCCTATATAAGGCCAATTTCTCCATGCATGTACTATATCCCTTTCTCTCTCATGTGTTGTAGAGTATCACTTCTGTATTTTTCATCCTGTTTCATCTTCATTTCACTGAGTTTCTCATCAGCATACCAGCATAATGTTTTTTTCTTATATTAACACAATCCTCTCTTGATTACACTTGCTTCTCCAGCTATTTTTCCATTTTCTTCCCGGTTTTTAATTTTTAAATTAAAAATAAACTTGTGGAGACAGAGTCTCACTATGTTGCTCAAGCTGGTCTCAAACTCCTGGGCTCTGACAGTCCTCTCACCTTCAGCCTCCCAAAGTGCTTGGATTGCAGGCATGAGCCACTGCTCTCAGCCTCTCCATTTTTCTGTCCCCCTTCATGGCAAAATTTTTAAAAGAGTTCTCTACATTTATTGTCTTCATTTTCTGTCTTCTGATTCTCTTTAGAACAAATGCCCATCAGTCTTTGATCCCTACACCTTCAAAACGATTCTTGTCAAGGTCACCCAAGTCCTCCGCATTAAAAATTCTAATAGTTAATTCTTAGCCCTTATCTTACTCGAGGACATTTGATATATTTGAACACTTCCTTCTCCTCAAAATATTTTTCTTATGTCTCCCTTGCTACTCTTTGTCTGCGCCCTTTGCTTGATCTTTCTAACATCCCTGCCCCCTTGTCATTAGTATTCGGGACTTCTTGTTTTTCTAATAATCTGTAAACACTTCTCTTGTCATTTCCTCCCATGGCTATATGCTCATCACTTTTTGTTTGCTTGTTTTGTTTTTTTGAGACAGAGTCTCACTCTGTGGCCCAGGTTGGAGTGCAATGGCACAATCTCCACTCACTGCAACCTCTGCCTCCTGAGTTCACGCCATTCTCCTGCCTCAGCCTCCCGAGTAGCTGGAATTACAGAGGCCCGCCAACACACCCTGCTAATTTTTGTACTTTTAGTAGAGATGGGGTTTCGCCCTGTTGGCAGGCTGGTCTTGAACTTCTGACCTCAAGTGATCTGGCTGCCTCAGCCTCCCAAAATGCTGGGATTACGCGCGTGAGCCACTGCATCTGGCTATATGCTTATCACTTTCAAACTCCTATAGTGCCTTCTAGGTTCCTCCCCTTGGTGTCAGACTTATGTACTGAAATACCTGTTTTACATCTCCACTTCGGTGTTTAAAAGCCATCTCAGAGGTAAAATTTCCAAAAGCTACACTTCCAGGTTTTCCCTCCAACTGTTTTTCTTGAATTATTTTCTATTTCCACTCATGGTGACTCAATCCTTTCAGTTTCTCATCCTTAACTTTTCTTTTTCTCACACCTCATTCCCAAACCCTCTAAGAAATCTTTCACCCTGAAACTTCAAAATGTCTCTGAAATATGGTCCTTTCTTACCACCTCTACTGCTACCAGTCTGGTTCAAGAACCTGATCTCTTGCTTGGACTTTTGCTTCTGCCTTTATGCTCTGGTTCTCATTCCACCTCCCCACTCACAATCTGAAGTCTATCACAGCAGCCAGAGATATCTGTTAAGATGTCTGCTCAAATATTCTAATAGTTATTGATTTTATTCAAAGAAAACTCCAAAGATCTTACAACTGCCTGCAAGGCCCTACATGATTGGGTTTTCACTCATTCTCTGCTATTAACCTCCACTTCCATTAATCTGCTCCCACCCACAAAGCATCTTTGCTTTTCTTTAAACATGTTAAGCACGTCTCTTTCTGTTCTCTCAGTCTTGTAACACTTGCTCTTCTCATTGGCTGTTCTCTTAGTCTGTAACACTTTTGCTCGATAACCTCATGATTCATTCCTTTACTTCCTTCACTCCTTTGTTTAAATGTAAACTCTTCAGACACACTTTCCTTGACCACTGAATTTAAAATGACAATGCTCCTCAGAACTCCATTGAACTCTCTGCTGCTTATTTTTCTACATATCACATACCATCTTCTAGTGTAAATTATTTACTCACTGTGCTTGTTATCTGCTGACACACCAGATTATAACCTCCATGAGGACAGCCTTTCTTGTATGTTTTTTTTTTAATAAGGTATTTCAAATGGAAGAAAAATGGTGGAAAAGACAAGATAGCCATAGCAACTTCAGGATAATGGACACGTTTGTGGAGGAACAGAGTGAAATTAGACAGAAATGAATAGGTGGCTTTCATTTTATGTTTGTAGCTTTTTAATTTTTTTAAATTTTTTATTTTTTTGAGACGGAGTCTCACTCTGTTGCCCAGGCTGGAGGGCAGTGGTATGATCTCGGCTCACTGCAATCTCCTCCTCCTGGGTACAAGCGATTCTCCTGCCTCTGCCTCCCAAGTAGCTGAGACTACAGGTGCCCGCCACCATGCCTAGCTATTATTTTTTTTTTTTTGTATTTTTATTAGAGACAGGATTTCACCATGTTGGCCAGGCTGGTCTCAAACTCCTGGCCTCAAGTGATCCTCTCCGCTTGGCCTCCCAAAGTGCTAGGATTACAGGCATGAGACACCGGGCCTGGCCTTGTAGCATTTTTTTTTTTAAATAAGAAAGGACTCAATGATAGTAAGTTTATTTTTGTTACATATTAATGGTGCATACATAGGGTTTCATCACATTTTCCCCTGAACTTTCTAAATGTTTAAAGGTTTTGTAATACTAACAGCACTTTACTAAGAAAGAAAGAGGTTGCATTTCAGGTAATTGGAGTTCTAGATGGCTGGTATATAGAGTGAAGAGACAGGTGGAAGAGAGAAGGACAAAAGAGAAAGAAAATGGCCAGGAGTAAGTTAATGGTGTGATACTGCTCTCTGTGCTAGGGCAGTGCTTCTCACACCTCAACATGCACAGCAATCAATGAGGATTGATTATCAGAATGTATAAGGAGCTCAGACAACTCTACACAAGGGATTTGCTTTATGATGCAAATTCTGATTTCATAGATCTGGGACAGAGCTATGATTTTGCCCTCCTAAAACACTCCCAGCAGATGCCAATGTCCCTGGTCCTGGAGCACTAGTCACAAAATCCTAGAGTGTGGCATCTGTAACTTGGCTACATGCTGGAATCACCTGGCAATCCTAGAAAATATTGATGTCTGCGTCTGACTTCCAAAAATTCTGATTTAAAACTTATTGGGATTCATCTGGCCACTGGGGTTTTGACAAGTGATTCTAATGTATAGCAAAATTTGAATACCCGGCAGGGGGTCCAGACAAGGTGCCTTCCTGGTACACTGCCTCTTCTGAAGACTCCTTCATGATGCCTGCTTCCTGTGGTCTCCTTTTCAAGAGATTCTGGGCAGAGGTCATAAGCATGGACCAAATGATGCTGCTTCTCAGGACAGACAATGTACCAAGTAGTAGGGCCTGATACAGACATAGGCTGGGCGCCTGACAGGACTGCTCTTTTCTGAATGAGACCTAGCTGGTCAATTGCTTTAAGGACCTGCATCACAGTGATACACAGTGCGAAAGTGGGAAAAACATATGCTTATTTCTAAAGTGGATGCTGTCAGAGACGCTGCTGAGTAGCCAGATCTATTGCTAGACTATCAAATGCATTATTTAATTCATTTATTATTTTCACAATTTGCTGACAGTCTGATACTTGCAAGACACATAGCTTAGTGGAGAAGACAGACTTTTTCCAGCCCTGGTGGGGCTGAAAGTCTATCAGTTATGACAGACAGTTAGCAATTTATTATACAACTGTGAATTTATTTATAATGTAGTAATTGTCATATGCATATTCAGGGGTCTGAAGGGTGAGAAGTGAGCGAGGATAACTGAGTATGAGACAGGGGAAAGCTGCTGGGGAACTCTGAATGTTATTCTATTTCTAGGGAATTTCAGTGGCTTAATCAATTTCCTTTCACCTTCTTCCTCAAGTGCTTTTACATAAAACCTTTAAACTGTGTTATCCTGAACATTTCACTTTTTTTTTTATTCGTACTCTGAAAAAGCCAACCCACACTAGTTAATTGTTTCTAACAAGACCAAATGGTGAGATGCAGCAACAGACATGGAACACGTGAGGGCCAGTGTCTCAGCTGTGCTTCATTGGGGTTACAGTCTGGGTAATTATTTGGAAAACAGGTTGAGTGGAAGAAAGGAAGTAAAGGATGTGAGAAGAGTCTGGAGGTTGTGAGGTCAGCCCGAAGGCAGGTGATATGGTTTGGCTCTTTGTCCCTACCCAAATCTCATCTTGAATTGTAATCCCCATGTGTCAAGGGAGGTTCCAGGTGGACGTGATTGGATCATGGGGGTGGTTTTCCCCTTGCTGTTCTTATGATAGTGAGTTCTCAGGAGAGCTGATGGTTTTAAAGTGTGGTACTTCCTTGTTCTCGCACTTACTTCCTCCTGTCACCTTGTGAAGAAGGTGCCTGTTACCCCTTCACCTTCTGCCATGATTATAAGTTTCCTGAGGCCTCCCCAGCCAGGTGGAACTGTGAGTCAATTAAACTTCTTTCCTTTAAAATTACCCAGTCTTGGGTATCTCTTTATAGCAGTCTGAAAACAAGCTAAAATAATAGGTGTGTTAGATCCAGGTGTCTAAGTTAAATGCAATCTAGAGACAAATCTCTAAATTTTATTTGGGAAGCAAGAATTGCAACTCGGGGCATACACACAAACCAGATGATCTTTGTCTAAAGAACAAGGAGAAGGTTGGAGGTTTTCTAAAAGGAAAAATGTTACATATTGTTTTTCCAGAAAGTTCATTGGCACTAGTAAAATTCTGGGGAGCTGGCAAGCTCTGATTCATGAGTGACAGTGGTGGTTAAAACTGGCCTTAGACTCATAGCAGGTTGTTTCAGTAGCTATGAGAGAAAAACTGGTTTCATGTTCCAATGGGCAGTTTCAGCAGCTGGGCTTGTGGAAGATTTAATTCTTGGAGCAGGTGCTATATGTCTTGAGTGCTTTCTCCCTGGTTCTTCTATTCTGTTTTACCTGAATATTACAAGAATGACCCAATTTGTAAAATCAGCTTTCACACAGTGAAAAATGGTGGCTACTGATACCAAGGGCTTGGAGAAGGGATTGAAGAGAAGCCGCCAGTTTGGGGATGTGTAGTTATGGTATTTTGTGACTGATGGGATGTGTTCAATGAGGGAGAGGAAGGAACCATGGAGGACTCCCTGAAGGACTTGATACACCTCAAGTTTGAGAATGTGGTTCATAATTTTTTCATTTAAAAATTTATAAGTTTTGAGGAACTTTTAAATATTTGATATTTGCATTTTGGTTAACCGAAGCCTATATTTCATAGATTGTTATGACAATCACTATGTATTGTTCTTTAGGTCACTTTCTGAAAGCATGCAATGAGACACAAAATCTAACCACAGTCCAGGAAAGGAGGCCCTAATTACATAATACCTTATGATAATAATATGTTTAAATATAACAAATGGGTCACATTGAATATTTCTCAGTTACATCGAGGATTACACAGTGTAATTAATTTTGGTCCATCTGATGCCATTCTTTTCATCCTAAATTAAGTTTCTTCTCAATCTCTGTTCTTAGAATGTTAACTGTATCACTATATTTGACATAGATGAGTGAGTTCAGGAGGGCCGATGACTTTTACTTCAAGCCTTTTATCTCTCAATGGCCTCAAAATTACAAATGATTGGCTTTAGGGGATGCTGCATTGAAAAGGCAGACAAAACAAAACAAAACATTCTTGCAAACATAGCAGAAGCTGGTTTTATGACTTAGACCTACACATATTAGTAAAGGGTCTAACAACTTTGGTGCATGAAATTTAGCTACAGAAAGGACAAGCAACTGCCTCTGCTAGCCAGAACAAAAGCTCACATTGTGAGATTTCAGTGGCATAATATACGGGCTTCAAGTAAGAGTTCTGGTCAGTGCGATATAAAGGAAGTGCTTCATTAGCTATCATAGTGCATACCTCTCAGCCTTGTACCACATGGCAGCATGCAGCAAAAGCATGGGCGCAAAGAATGAGCTATTCACTCAGGATTCATAATCTAGCTCTGTTTCAGCCTCCTGGGTTGACAGCTTTCAAGTTAAGCATGGAAGGCTCTAAAGAAACAGTCTTGCATTCTTCAGTGACATAGTTTGTTTTTGGAAAATGCCTATCTAAAATAAGGAGATAAAATGAGTTTAGCCTGTGAGCTCCATTTATGACATTAGCTCTCTTTTCCAGGGCAGGGTGATATTTTTATGCTTACTTTGAACACTTTAATAACATAGTTTTACTGAAAGATTCATCTCAAATAAAATAATTTGCAATTTCCATGTCATTCAACACTATGTAATTATAATAATATTCATTTTATAGTGAAAGCTAACATTGTAAGTAGAAAAATTACAATAAAATGCTTTGCAAAGATGCTGAGTAGTGGAAAAATAATTCTATGTAGTAGTTTTCAGGAAAATCGTTGTGAATTCCAATTCTGTCATCTGTAATCACAGACCCTTCTACCCAAGGAAAACACAAAAGTATGTAACTCAAATTCAAATTAATGGCACATTTCTGTGTTCGTTTTATACATCATCTGTGCTATGAAAGGAAACACATTATATTTAGAATCTCATTTATATTCATTTCCTAGATTCCAAGGTCAGTGTTCAATAGCACTGCCCAAAGGCTGATGGACTTAACTTTATAAAATTGCATAAAGATGCCCAGAACCATTCTGAAATTGAACTACAATAAAACAAATGTAAATAAGGCAGCTATCTATTGGACTAGCGTCAGAAAACCTAGATATTATGTTATCATACAATTTCCAAGACAAAGTAGCAAAAGAGATGGTACAATTCAAATTCATATTTAACATTATTTGTTGTGAAGTTGCTTTGCTACTCTTAAATATACTGGGCATATTCATTTTGAATATAGCTGAGTAATATAGAACCTACATTTGTTTTGAGTTTTACCGGATACTCAGATCGAATAGTAGGAAATCATTGCCTAATGCTTAAAAACATTAAAAAATCCTGAAATATACCAATCTGAAAAGAACTAAAAAAAAACTTTCACTTATTTTCAAATAAAACTAATACTTTCTTAAAATAATTTCTTACTTAAGTATGAGATGTGAGCAGTCACTCTACAGGCTGGCCAGACAGGTTTGTGATAGGGTCAGAGAATATAACGTGTACTCACAAGGCCCCCACAGATGTTCACCTAAAATAAAGATACTTCTTAATGAACAGGTAGGTTCCTCTATTTAACGATTTTATTTTTCTCACTTAGAAAATCACCAGCAGTTTTCATACTAAAAGTCGACCCCAAAAGCAGATTGTGTAATTAGCCTTTAATCTGGTTTTCATACAAACTACACTTCATGGGTTAAATTGTACTCCTCCTCCCCCACCATTCTTAAGTTGAAGTCCTAACCTCCAGTATCTGAGAATGTGGCCTTATTTGGAGATGGAGTCTTTAAAGAGAAAATCAGGTTGAAATGAAGCCATTTGAATAGGTGTTAATCTAATATGGCTAGTGTCCCTGTGGGGGGGGAGGGAAAAAGGAAATTTGGGCACAGAGACAGGCATGGAGGGAGAACATCATGAGAACGTGAAGACAGCCATCTACCAGTCAAGGAGAGAGGCCTGGAACAGATCCTCCCCTCACAACCCTCAGAAGGAACCAACCCTACTGATGCCTTGATTTCAGTGATAATATCCTTTACAAAAAGGTCACTGAGATTATATATATATTTTTTAATTAAAAAAATTGTTGGTTAAAATGGGGACATTTGGAATGTCTAGGCTCAAACTTTGTGTGCTAGTTCGTATTTCAACAGCTACACGAAAGTCAATTTGTCTAACATTTAGATAAATATTGTATATTTAAAGTGTTTTTCCTTTTTTTTTTTTTGAGACAGAAATATTGCTCTGTCTGTCAACCAGGCTGGAGTGCACTGGTGCAATCATAGCTCACTGCAGCCTCGTACTTCTGACCAGCAATCCTCCTGCCTCAGCCTCCTCAGTAGCTAGGACTAGAGGTGCACACCTGGCTAAGCAACTACAGCCATGCAACTACAGCCACACCTGGTGCAACTGCAGCCACACCTAGCTAAGTTTTTCATTTTGTAGAAACAAGTTTGGGAAGGGGTCTCGCTGTGTTGCCCAGGCTGGTCTTGAACTCCTATTCTTAAAGATCCTCCTGCTTCATCCTCCTAAAGCAGAAATTATTTAAAAATGAAAAGCCACTACACGTGCAGGATTTAATTTTGCTTAAACTTATTTTTTTAATGCAAAACTGGGTAAAGTGAATAATATTCTGGCAATATTGAAGGAACATAGATGGCAAATTTATTTAAAATCTTTAATTGGAAAGTTTGTTCTTTATTAATTTATTTATTTCTTCATCTGTCTATTCATTTACCTGCTTATCTACCTACCAGAGCTTTGCAATAATAGCAGTTTACAGGGAAATTTTATATCATGTAGGTAATTCTGACTGCTTGAATTTTTAAATTCAAAACATTACAGAACTATGATAAATTTTATATATGTTTCATAAATCCAAGACAAAGATAAATATCCAATTTTAAAAATGGGTAAGGTTATTAACTCTACTACTAGTTCAAAATGTGTTGGAGGTATTAGTCAAAGAAATTAGATATCAAAGACAAAGCAATTACTGACATAAAAATTAGAAAGCAAGAGGCTATCTTAACTTATAGATAATATGATTATATATTTGGAAAACACAGGAAAAAAATCAATGGAAAAAGTACTAAAGACAGGAGTTACGGGTAGGTTGAAGGTATGCCAAAAAAGGAGATAGAACAGGGGATTCTGCACCTTGATTTTGGTGGTGGTTACAGAACCCATATATGTGTTAAAATTCACAGAGCTGTACACTAAAAGAAGTAATCGGGTCAATTTAAATAAAAAATAACTAACAAAATAAAATAAAAACTAGTGTAAACAATCCAAGGGCAAGTAGGAAAAAGATTGATACATTTGATATATGAGAGAAAAATCAAACTTTTACATGGCAAAACACAGCATAGACAAATAGACAAACTGAGAAGAGCTATTTGGAACCAAGTCACAGACAAATAAATAATATTTCCAACATATGAAGTGACTCTTGAGAATTGAAAAGAAAAAAACAAAATTTATATAAAAATAGGTAAAAGAATATATGGTACACATAAAAAGAAAAAGAAATGTAAGTGGCCTTTATGCACATGAAATGGTGTTCATTCTTACTGCTAATAAGAAGAATTCAATTTAAAATTACGCTGAGATATCATTTCTTATCCTTTAGATTGGCAAGAATCCATACATTTGAGAACATACCCTGCTGGCCAGGCTTTTGGGAACAGATGCTCCCATACATTGCTGGCAGAAATGTCATATGTGTACTGCCTGTGGAGGGGGATTTGGAAGTAAGTAGAAAACTACATATGTCTTCATCTTTGATATAGTAATCTCATTCCTAAAATTCATCTTGAAAATATATCTCCACAGATACAAAGCAAATTTTGATTTCTTATAATAGCAAAATGCCCGTCAAAATGTGTGAATAAAATACATTACATTTCTACAATGAAATACTATGCAATCTTAGAAATAAATGAGAATGATGTCTATATGCTGTTGTAAAGTGGTATCTAGAATATATTTTTAAGAAAAAAACAAAAAAAAAACGCCATAAAGCAATGTGTAGAGTATGTCAATGTGTTTTTATAACAAGAGAGGAACACATGTATGAGAGACGTATTTATATTTTCAAAACATTTTTGAAAGATAATCGAAAACTCTAAAATTATGATTATCTATAGGGAACGTAATGGCAAGAACAGAGAAGAAAACTAAACTTCTCTTCCTGCTCCTTTTTACTTTTTCATTTATAAAAATTATTTGTACTTCGGAAGTGTTAGGAAGTAAAACCTTTGAGGACTACGTTAGCCAAATGCAGTCAGTGGACCTTGTTTGGATCCTGATTCTAACACTTCAACTTGCAAAAAGGCATTCTTGAGGCAGTCAGATAAATTTGAACACAGAATAATTATTAGATGATATTAAGGATTTATCGTCACTTGCTAGATGTGGTCACAATGTGGCTGTTTTTAAAAAGGCCTAACTTGTAAGAGATATAAAACAAAGTATTTATGGACAAAAGAACATTATATCCTAGAAAAAATGATGTACAGAAACTATAAATTAAAATAATTTTTAAAAAATCATGAGTGATGTAAGATTCTTTCCTCCAGAAAGAATCAGCTCCTCACAGCGAGATTCCTGGCATCTTTAACTTAGTCTCTTAGGAGAAGAGACTTGCTTGATTCACAGAACCTTGCACAGTGACACTTGCAGAATTGGTGTAAAGGGTAGAATATTTTTGAAGGATCTGTCAATTTAATCTATAGAGGAGAAACAGATCTCAAAAGCATTAAAAATGTGCATACATTTTGACCCACGAATTATGATTTCTGGAATTTATCCTAAACATATAGCTAGAAATGTATGTAAAGATTTAGCTAAAGGAATAATTTTTCATAGCAAAAAAACTAGAAATACCTTGCATCTGAATGTATTTGTTAAACGAATCAAATAATGCAAAACCACCTTTAAAATTATGTTGAAAATAATTTTTACAATGAATGGAAAGGTTCATTTTATTACTAACTGGAAAAAATTGTTCATAAAACCAAAATTCAGTATAATCTAGATTTTAATTAAGAAATTCAAGAAAAATATTACAACACTTTATCAATGTTTATAGTAATTATCTTTGGGAAGTCAGAATATAGGTAGCTTTTGCTTAAAATCAGTATTTGTGGCTTATCATTTTCTTTTTTAAAAATCTGCAGTAAACCTATATTATTACTTTTGCAAAAAAATAGCTATTAAAGTAGAAGGCAGCTATTCACAAGGCAATTAATCAATTTCAGAAAAAAGATAATAACACCAAAGATGCAGAAAACAGAATAGAAAGATGGAGATAATTGTGAGGTAAAAACATTTTACAGATAAAGAACAAGTACTGAACCACAAAAAAATTGAACAACTATAAATAAAATCATTTTTCATCTTGAGTGATATACGATTCTTTCCTTCACAAAAATGGCCATTACAGTGAGATTCTTGTCACATTCAACTTAGCCCCCTAGGAGAACAGCTAAACATTTCATCTTGCTGCATCTACAGAACCAAGCACAGCGTTACTTGAGAAGTTGATGTAAAGGGTAGAATATTTTTGAAGGCTCTGTCATCGTAGTCTCTCTTATACTTAAACTAGACTCCCACTTTGTACACTGCACACCACCAGGAAGAGGTACCTGCCAAATGCCAACTCATCATGGAAACGTTTATGATATCTGGGGGGAGAATTGCTTGCCAGAGTGACAGATGCTGAAAGTTTGCTTTTCTCCCTCCATAGGAAAGGAAAGCAAGAGAGAAGGGGAATCATGAATTTGTTTTGACTTCCTCTTTCTGGGGTTGGCCTTATAGCTGCAAAGCATTCTTGATCATTAAGGAAAAAGCTGGGAGAAGACCCTTGGCCCTGCTCTCTGATAGGAACTAGGAAGAAGAGAAAGTAGCTGCAGAACAGTAACAGGAGGGGCATAGCAAGGTTAGGCCAAGAGAGCCTGACTGGACTCTCTTTTCTATTCTTCATATCTCCCAATCCCCACCACAAGCAGCCTTCAGCCACAGCTTGGTCCACAAAGCATTTTGACATTCCCAACAGCCCCTGAGAGATGGCAAGAAGATTGAGATTTCCAAAGGAAAACTATTACTCTTCATATTTGTTTAAAATCAAACTTTGACCTGTGTTTTCATGAATCTTATTTGATAAATATAGTACTGTTGAGAAATTTTCTTCCTTAGATAACACACTTACTAGAATGTAAAACTGTCCACTGGGTCACGCTGAATATTACAAGGAAATTAATTATAGAATTTCCCACCCACATATATCTCCTTCTAGGATAAAGTTATTTTTAAAAATCAAGAGAAATTTAAGACACGATTATAAAAAAGACAGATTACCCCAGACATTTGGCATGTTAGAAGACACAGATAGATTTTATTTTAAGTATAGCTCCCTTGTTCAATGTTATGGATAAGATATAGCTAAAACATGAATAGTGTGTAAATATGAATGTGTAAATATTCAGAGAATGAGGCAGAGATTTGAAATAATAAATAAGGAAAATATTGAGCCCTATTGGAAATTACTTGGAGTTACTCACAAATTACATGCCACCTCTTTTTTAAAGACTACCATTATATGATAAAATAAAATTTGGGTTGAATAAATGAAGTTGGAGTCTCCTTATCTTCAACAGGAAGCTGGCTCATATACTTGAGAGATGCTTTTTGAATATTTGACTTTCACTTTTTGCCAGAATGAACATTTGGGGAATATATCTGGCTAGACCTGAATAATACCCCCCAATCCCCAAGAAACACAGGAAGAAAGAGAGAGAGAGACAAAACTGAGAAAGAAGGGTGTCTAGGCTCTTAAAATTATCCTAGACATTGACTAAGTCCTAGACTCAAGAACTATTATAACCTAGGAAAAGTCCATCTCTAGAGTTAACATTTTATAATTTCTCACGATAATTAATAAAACTCTACTGTGTTTTTTAAATGAATCCATTAATAAAAAATATATCCTGTGTAATAGCCTAAGTTTGGGGATTCAGTTAGAAAAAAGGTTAGAGTTCCCTGAACTTATAGTACTTATTTCTCCAAATCCTCTGGACGTGTGTAAGGTAAGATTTATTTGTTCCATAGCCATTCACTCAACAGAGATTTCTTGAACACCTGCTATGTGTCTGCTGATTGCTGGGCTCATACTAGTCGGCAACACCGACATGATTTCTGCCTTCAGCCTTCATAATCAGATACTCATACAATCACATAGTTGGACACTATTTAAAAAAAAATGCTGGAAAGAGTTTAAGGCAGGGGTGGGTATTAAGCCCTTCCTGAGGAAATGGGACTCGGAGGAGGAGGATAAATTAACGATATTAAGAGTGAGGACGGGCGTGGATATGCTAGCCAGAGGGGACCTGTATGGACAAAAGGCCAGAGAAACTGATTTGGAAAATTAAGGTCCTCCCCCGCCCCTGCTCCCCACCCCCGACCCCGCCCAAACTTCGAGGTCCTCAGAATGCTGGAGCACAGAACACTACTTCTTACAGAATGGTTTCTGTATTTTGACTTTTCCCCAAAGACATGCTCTACAAGGAGGTGTCTCTTGGCTATAAACACTGCAGACAAGTTTTTGCTTGTGCATCTTGTCCAGCGCGTTTTGCTTGATTTTTAAATCTAGATGCATTTAGGCGGGCGTACACGTTCGGATTTGTCACAGGCCACCTAACTCTATTGGTCTCACACACGTGTGCCACCTGTCTGACCCCTGGGAAACAGAGTTTGCAAGGTTTTCCCGTTGACTACTCGACTTTAGCACCAAAGAGAAGCAGGAGTGCAGAAGACAGGGCAAAATCGCCAACCCGGCGCAAGCAGCGCAAGCGCAGTGGGCGCTGGGGAGCGCGGAGGAAAAGGCGGGACGCCGCATGGTGGCCAGTCACTGCGCATGAGCGGCCCGCGTTGCCAAGACAGCTGGGAAGGCGTCTCCCGGAAGACGACCTCCGCAGAGCTGATGGCATTGAGATCCATTCCCGGAGGGGTCAGCTCCTGACGGGTTCCTGAGCCAGTCTTAACCTGGGCAAAGGAGATGAGGAGCCGAGCCTGATGCATTGTGATGGCCATCTGCCCAGAATTGGCCCAAACGGACAAAAGTGCTCTTGCAAACCTTTCTGATGAGACTGAGACTTTGAAGAACTCTACTGATGAGGTACAGACTTCCAGCTCATTCAGCTCCTCTGGAGGACGGCAGTCCTCGCCCCTGACCTCTGGGAGCAAACTGGAGAGGGAAAAGCAGACTCCAAGCTTGGAACAAGGAGACACACAATCTGAGCTTTTGGACTATAAAAATTATGAAAAGAAGTTGAGTAAAAAATGGATCAACTACCTCAAGCTCAAAGACTCTAACTTTGAACGGCACCAACCAGACACCAAACTTCCAACAGAAATCACTCGGGTATCAGATGAAGAATTGAATGCCCTGCAGTCTTATTGCACCATGAAGATAAATTTGATTCATCGTAGAGGGGATTCTAAGAAGAAGACGAGCAGCAGACATAAAAAGCTGCATCTTGGATTGGATGTAGAGGCTTCAGAGAGAGATGCCTTTAGTTGTACTGTACCCGATGAACTTTTGAACAGAATCTACTTTAAAAACATGAGGACAACGCCAAAACAGGAGGCAGCAGCTAAGCAACACATATCTTATCAGTGTCCCTATTGTAACAGGAAAAGAGCGGAGCTGGCCCTGTCTGCCTTTCTGAAACAAAAGAAGACTTTACTGGAGTCATTTCTACTCCAAGAGAGAATAGATGAACATCTTCATACCAAAGACTTTCTCACCCGTATTGGAGAAGCACATCAAGACTTTCCCAGGCTTTCAGATGACCCCAGAATAATCTGGAAAAGACTGACTGAGAAAAGTCATATCAGATACTCTGGTTTTGAAAGATCAGAGACAGAGCAGAAGTTGCAGCGAGATGGAAATAGTGCTTGTCATTTACCATTTTCTCTGCCATTTCTCAAGCGACTTACTCTAATCAAACCAGAGCTGGTGATTGTTAATGATAATGTGTAATGTGGATAGATGTCTTTGTTGTGTATTTGAGTAATTACCATAATTTCTACAGGCACTTGGGAAACTAACTTAAGACTTTACTATGCTTCCTTCACAGATTTGAGGACTAAGAACTTTCACTTTTTTTTTCCTATTATAGAAGGCACTGTTGTAGTTGGAATAGTTATAAAAACTTTTACAAAATTCCAAGAGAACTATGTTGGTAGTTTGGGCCAGGATGTTGATGGTACAGAAGCAAAGTAGTATGGGGATGTAAGAGAAACTTAAAAAGTAATAACTGTCTTTGGCGATCAAATGGCTATGGGGAATTAATAAATAGTAGATGTTTGAAATGTTATTAAGGCTCTGACTTGTGCGCCCGGATGAATGATCATTAATTTCATTAAGACAGGAACACCAGAAGAGGACTATGTTTGATGGAACTGTTGAAGAGTATGATTATTTGGACATATAAGGTGCATTTGGGACATACACATTGACAGTTTGAAGAAACATTTGATTATTTGTTTTTGCGCTTCAGAGGAAAGGTATAGCCTAGAGGTGCAAAATAAATTGGGGTAGGACTGGGGGAAGGGTGGGGATCAATGGCATATAGCTGGAAGTTGAAGCCGTAGATTGTCAAGCGTTTTTGGAAATGAATAAGAAGAGAAGCAGGGTTGATACAAACTCTTGAGAAATGCCAATTAATGGCTAAGTAGAGAAAAATAAACCTGCAGAAAAGATTGTGAAAAAAGTTATCAAGTGGATCAAGGAAATCAGGAATGTATAGTGTCATAGATGCTAAGGAATGAATATTTAAAGAAGGATAGTTGTCTAACCACATCAATCAACAGAGAAGCCATGTAAAGATGATTTAGTCATGTATTGGGCACTGCTGACCTTAGCAAAAGCCATTTCACTTATACAAATGGGGCAGACAAAATAGATTGAGGAAAAATGTAAGTAAATAATGAATGGATATAGGGTACTCCTTGAAATATTTAGCTGTAAGGGGAAGAAGAAGTAAAGCTGGGGTTAGGTGTTGAGTTTTGAGAGAAGAACGCTTAAACAAATTATCTAGATAGCCATTTTGGTCGTGAAGATTTTATGAACCTTCTGTTGTTCATCCAAATTTATGTAATGAGGAAACAGTATTATTCCACAAGGAATACCATGGCATTTTGAAAACACATTTATGGAGAAAAATGTTAGATGGCATTCTGAGAAGCCATTTATTATCTATTTCCTCTATAAAAATATAAAACCATGGAATTAGTGGCATTACCTGGAGATCACTTTTCTACATGTCCAACACCTGAATTATCTCAGTGAAAAAGAAATTTGTTTGCAAAAATCAGCACAGAAGAGTTTTAGTATTGTACTTCAGTATTACTCTTTGCGTTAAGACCTTCATTTATGTATAAAGATACTATTTTTTTCCCCCATAAAATTTAGCATATTTCCCCTTAGTAAGTCATTCTAAATGGAAAATAACCATTACCATTTTCATAATAACCTTTTATTTGAAATCCATATTATGTCATGCTTTATCTTTGACATCTCAATATATTCATGTTTTACATAATCAAAATTCTGAATAATTTTCCCTTTAGAATTCCCCCATTAAAGGGCATGCTCCACCCTTTTAGTCAACCAAGCTAGAAATCTGAGTCATCTTTTGTTCTTCCTTTTTATTTTTCAACTCAACCCCAAGCTATTTTTCAGCAAGACTTTCAGCATACAGTTCCCAAATGTCAGCATACAGTTCTCAGAATTACTATTTTTTAAATTTGTTACTTATTTATTATTGAGACAGGGTCTGGCTCTATCACCCAGGCTGGAATGCAGTGGTGCAATTACTGCTTACTGCAGCCTCAACCTCTAGGATTCAGGTGATCCTCTCACCTCAGCCTCCCCAGCAGCTGGGACTACAGGTGCGTGCCGCCACGCCTGGCTAAATTTCTTTATTTGTATTTTCAGTAGAGAAATTTTGCTATGTTGCCCAGACTGGTCTGGAATTCCTGAGCTCAAGCAATCCTCCTGTCTCAGCCTTCCCAAGTGCTGGGATTGCAGGCACGAGCCACTGTGCCCAGGAGCCCAGAATTATTTTTCTAACACACAAATCTGTTCAAGTAATTCTGTTGATTTAAAACAAAACAAAACTCTAAGTTGTTTATCTCTGATATGGAAATATTTCAAACTAATTAAGGTCACATAGTGGTTCTTTAACATCTGGCCCAACTTTACCTTTCTATTCTCATGTAATCCCTCCCCACTATATTCAAGCGTCTCTACATTACTTCCCTGAGCTCTTTTGTGTCACTATGGTTTCTATGTGCACATTTGTTTCCCCTAAATTCTCTCTTTTTTTTTTTTTATTATACTTTAAGTTTTAGGGTACCTGTGCACATTGTGCAGGTTAGTTACATATGTATACATGTGCCATGCTGGTGCGCTGCACCCACTAACTCGTCATCTAGCATTAGGTATATCTCCCAATGCTATCCCTCCCCCCTCCCCCCACCCCACCACAGTCCCCAGAGTGTGATATTCCCCTTCCTGTGTCCGTGTGATCTCATTGTTCAATTCCCACCTATGAGTGAGAATATGCGGTGTTTGGTTTTTTGTTCTTGCGATAGTTTACTGAGAATGATGGTTTCCAATTTCACCCATGTCCCTACAAAGGACATGAACTCATCATTTTTTATGGCTGCATAGTATTCCATGGTGTATATGTGCCAGATTTTCTTAATCCAGTCTATGATTGTTGGACATTTGCGTTGGTTCTCTTAACTTCCCTTTTCACCTGGCATACTCTCCCGCTTCTTCGTCGTCTTCATTCAGCTCTCAAATTTTATTGTCCTGTCTTTATGACTCAAAAGTTGAAAGAATATTAGAAAGTTTAGTTTGTAGAGTCTCCCCTCTACCCTGTAACTATTCAACCTCATTCTAGACTAACCTACCAGACCCCTGTCCTGCCAGGGTTAACTCTTTACTTGCTGGGCCATGGTGCAGACAGGTATCTTGGGATGAGAGCACAGGAGGAGAGAACTCACGGAATCAGGGAGTGGACATTTACCCACCAGAAGTATTTCTGTACTTTAACCAATACAACTTTATTATTGGGTAGGGGCTGAATATTGATGTTACCTATAAATAACCACTTACTTTAATTTCTTATGTATTATTCCAGTGCTGTTTTATGCAAATACGAACACCAAAGATAGTTTATTATGTGCTCTCTTCAGCACCTTGCTTTTTTTTCCTTTTGTTTTTCTTGGGGTAAAATCTACATAACAGAAATTTGCCACTTGAACTGTTATTAATAGTACCATTCAGTAGCATGACATCCATAATGTTGTGCAACCATCACCACTGTTTTCAGAATTTTTTATCACCTCAAACAGAAACTCAACCCGTTCAGCAATAACTCCCCATTCTCCTCTCCCCCTGGTACCTGGTCACCTCGAATGTACTTTCTATTGCTATAAATTTGCTTATTTGAGATACTTCATATCAGTGCAATCATGCAGTCTTTGTCATTTTGTGTCTGGCTTAGTGTCGAGGTTCATCCAAGTTGTAGCATGTATCAGAACCTCATTTTTATAGCTGAGTAATATTCCATTGTAGGTATATGTAACATGTACGTGTAACGTGTATGTGTATTCATTCATCTGCTGAGGGACACTTGCATTGCTCCCACTTTTTGGCTATTGTGCGTAATGCTGCTATGAACACTGGCATACAAGTATCTGTTTGTGCACCTGCTTTCGATTCTTTTGGGTCCATACTTAGAAGTAGAATTGCTGGATCACGTGGTAATTCTATGTTTAGCTTTTTGAGGAAGTGACACATTATTTCTACAGCAGTTGCAACGTTTTACATTTCCACCAGCAAGCTACAAGGATTCGGATTTTTTCACGTCCTTGCCAACACTTTTTATTTTCCCCTTCAAAAGTTATAGCCATTTTGGTAGTTGTGGAGTGGCATCTCATTGTACTTTGACTTATAATTTCCAAATCCCTAATGATGCTAAACAGTTTTTCATGTGATTAATGTTCATTTGTGTATCTCATTTAGCAAAATGTCTATTCAAATCCTCTGCCCATTTTCAAATTGAGTTGTCTATTTTATTGAGTTTCAGGATTATTATTATTATTATTTATTTTTTTTTTTTGAGATGGAGTCTCACTCTGTCACCCAGGCTGGAATGCAGTGGCACGATCTCGCCTCACTGCAAGCTCCACCTCCCGGGTTCACACCATTCTCCTGCCTCAGCCTCCCAAGCAGCTGGGACTACAGGTGCCTGCCACCACGCCCAGCTAATTTTTTGTATTTTTAGTAGAGACGGGGTTTCACCGTGTTAGCCAGGATGGTCTCGATCTCCTGACCTTGTGATCCACCTGCCTTGGTGTCCCAAAGTGCTGGAGGAATTATTTTTATATTTTGGATAGTAAATTCTTATCAGATATATGATTTGCAAGTATTTTCTCTTGTTCTGTGGGTTTTTCAGTCTCTTGATAGTGTCTTTTTATACACACAAGTTTTTAATTTTCATAAAGTTCAGTTTTTCTATTTCTTCTTTTATTGCCTATGCTTTTGGTGTCATATGTAAGAAATCATCACCAAATCTAAGATCATGCAAGTTTGCCCATATATTTTCTTCTAAGAGTTTTATAGTCACACATCTTATAGTTATGTATTTAATCCATTTTGAGTTAGTCTTTTGTTTATGGTGTAAGGGTCTAATTTCATTCTTTTGTATGTGGTGATACAGTCTTTCCCATATGATTGTTGAAGATTCTGTTCTTTCCCCCATTGAATGGTCTTAGCACCCTTGTGAAAAATCAGTTGGTCATAGAAATAAGAGTTTATTTCTGAACTCTAAATTCTGTTCCATTGGTCTCTGTGTCTGTCCTTACTCCAGTACCATAATATTTTTATTACTGTGCTTTGAGTAAGTTTTGAAATCATGAAACATGGAATCTCTATCCTTTTTGTTCAAGATTGTTTTGGCTATTCATGGTTCCTTGGGATTCCATATGAATTTTAGGATAGGTTTTTCTATTTCTGTAAAAAATGCCATTGGACTTTTGATAGGGATTGCATTTAATCTGTATATATCTTTGGGTAATATTGTCATCACAACAATATTGAGCATTCCAATTCACGCACATTGATGTCTTTACGTCTTTTAAAAATTTATTTTGTCAGTGTTTTGTGATCTTTACCATGTAAGTTTTGTGCCTCCTTTGTTCAATGTATTCGTAAGTGTTTTATTCTTTTGGTTGCCATTGTAAATTAAATTTTTTTAAAAAATTCTTTTTGGATTGTTCATTTCTATTGTATAAACATACAGTTGATTTTTGCATGCTGGTTTTGTATACTGCAACTTTGCTGAACTCATTTATTAGCTCTAACGATGAAAAGAGACAGATTCTTTAGGGTTTTCTAGGTATAAGAGTGTATCTACAACAGAGATAATTTTATGTGTTCCTTTCCAATTTGAATGCCTTTCTATCTTTGCATAATTGCTATGGCTATCACTTCCAGAGCTATATTGAATAGAAGGTGTGAAAGTGGAATCTTTGTTTTGTTCCTGATCTTAGGGAAGAACTTGCAGTCTTTGACCACTGGGAATGATTTTACTTATGGGTTTTCATATATGGCATTTTCATGTTGGGAAAGTTCTCTGTAATTCTTAGTTTATTGAATGTTTGTATCATAAAAGTGTTTCGTATTTTGTCAGTTTTTTCCTGCATCCATTGAAATAATCTTGTAGTTTGGCATATGCTTAAATCCAACATTTGTGCTCATAACCTCACCTTTGCACTCATGATCTTTAAGCACTTACTATTCAGAATTAAAGTCAGTAGTCTGTATGCTCTATGACATTAATATAAAATTTACATATGACGTTAATATAAAAGTTCATTTTATGACACTTGTGGCTTAATTAATATGCTTTTCTCTCTTACTTGTGAGCAACGCAAGTGTAGAGACTCCCTCCATCATTCATCATATCCTTGGTGTTTAGCACAGTGCCTTACACGTGATGGTGCTCAATGAAACTTTCATGGATAACAAAGAAGGGCTTCCAAACAATGAAACTGAATGTATCTTCTCCACCAAAAGAAGAAAATAATCTTCTAGAATTCTGTAATCTGTCAGTGTTCTGAGTAGCTGTTTTCTGTAATTTTACTCTTACCTCTCCAGGGGTTGCATTTCCTTTCAGCATGTATATATACACATTCTTTTCCTCAGTGGCAAATTAGCGTAAAGCTTTTTAATAAGAGATCCTTCCAGGAAGTATGCATTTTTCACTTTAAACAATTAACATAAAAATATATTTCTAGGCAATACACAGTTTCAAGTAGAAAGTTATCTATTATTAATTTTAGACATATTTGATGACTATCTGAAATTTTGAAATGGGATAAAAATTCTTAACGCTCAAACTTAATATATGTTTTTTGCCCTTGAATATATTCAAAGGGGGTTGGATATCTTTTCTCCAAATACTCTATAGTTACACCCATGAGATTCTAATACAGGTGAAATAGAAAGCTCATCAGATGAGGTGCTAAGAAGCCACATATTTTCCTAATTGTTGCCACAACACTAAAAATGTGTCTAGCCACTTAGTACATAATTATACAAATGTATAATTTATATGATTATAATATATACATAATAGAAATATTTATTTCATGTTTTGTACTCTAGGTTTATCATCAAATAGACTAAAATTCTGTGCCTAAAAACAAATCTGTTTATTGAACAGCATTATAGTAATGAAACTCTTGAGATAGAAGTGGTGATGCCAGACTGAGAGAAAAGTCAGCTCAATCCTGAACATCTGAGTCATTCAAATTCCAGCCTCAGAACTGTTTAGGAATGTCTGGGACCCAGCTTAGAATACCTCCAATTTTAAACATGTTAGTTTATTTCATGATGAAGCCTAGTATAATAACTTAGCTCATTCTGCAGCAGCATAGTAAACAGGTTGAAAAGAAGTAGGGATTGGGAGTAGGTGTGAGCTCTCCCTCAATTTTGCCTAAAAGTGACAGATGAGAAATAAATACACAAATAGTCAATTTGAGAAACACAAAATGAAAACATAGTTGAATTTCTGTTCTTAGTTGATAATTACCCTTTGGAATAGAGAATTCAGAAATTTTCCAACTGGCAGTCAACTCAAATTACAGCGAAAATTGCAAACTTACATCAAAGTGTCTTATGCAATCATAAGCCCTGATTTTGATGAGCCCACTGTTTGTCGAGGTATTAAACATTTAGGAGAAAATTTGTTGTAGTCATCCCACTCAAAATTTGCTCTGGATGTCAGGACTAATGGTGCCACATATGCACTGAGAGAGTATGAAGGTTTATTTACTTACGTAATGAGGGTTAGGAGGGGGGTACGAGAGGCAGTCTTTCAAGCAGATCTGAAAATGGCTTGAAGGTGAGGAAAGAGACTAGCATGGCTTTTATTATAATTAGGGGGTGGGGCCGAGGGGAGGATTCCCACATCTGGGCTGGGGCTTGGATATTTTGAATGTCCTGCCACACCAAATAAGGGAGCATATGGGCTTTCTTATCAGCTAGCACAGATATGGGGCAGAAGAGTGGGGCTTGAAAGCCTTCAGCTGTTAAACATAAAAAAAAAATGCAGTCCTAATTTTTATTACAATTTATCCCTGTTGCTTGACTGACGACTGAAATACATCATGTTTCATTTAATTAAATTTTAGCTTCAGTGTACCATAATAGTGCTCTCTCAGGCCTGTCACCTGAAACTGGTAAGGGCAGTGAAAGTTCACTGAACACCTTGTTTGAGAGCCCAGCATTGTGTATTTTGAGAAGTAAAATGAGTGCCTTGGTCATTATGAACAATATCTGGAATTCTGAAGGGTATAAAGGAAGGCTTTGTATTGTGGCTTTAGTATGCACTGAGACATGTGTAACCTTAACATATTTTGAGTATCTGTGTGGCAAGAGAGTCCCACAGTTATTTTCCTCAAAGGAGCAAATCTTGGATAACTAGTTGTTGCTACCATTGGCAGAACTAGAGGGCTAGACCACTGGCAATGGCCTGTAAAAGTGCATAGATGGAGCCAATTGTTGCCCAAATTGAGTGCCTAAAGTTCAGCTAAATATACTGGCCCTTAGATCACACTCTTTATCAGAATGTCTGGATTAAGGGATGAAAAGCAGCACCTCCTCAGTAAGACACATCATGTATAGTTTTAATACTCTACATAAAGTGTAATAACCCGCATTGCTGTTCATTCATTAAATCCCAAGGGATTCCCAGGTAGTTAAGGGGTTTGAAGGTTTGAGAAGAGATTGCTAAAGCCTCTACAGTGAAGGATTTTTCTGGGGCGCGGAGAAGGATCACCAATGGGAGTGCCTATTGTATTGCAATTTGACCAGATTCTAGAGTTCTTTGGTTGAGAGGACACAATTCCAGAAGGAACAATTTGCAACAGCATAAATAGGCATCAGTAAAATTTATAATGAGAATGTAAACATCGAAATATATAAAAAATGTAAACATAGAAATATGTTGCCTCCAGATCCTGAAAAGTTGTAAAAGTTGAGCTTCTTTTAACATTGTGGGTTCTGAGAGAGTCGATTGCTATTTCTTACAGATAGAGAAGTCTTCAGCTTACCCAATAATTTTCACAAATTTAACTGGTGTGCAGGGCCTTGTCCTATGTGCAGAGAAATGCCTATCTTCTTTTTGGGAGCATTTGCGTGTCCTCAGTGAGTGTGTCAAATGAATCTCCCCAGAGTAGGGTATGATCAGTACAATGCTGTGTCTGTGCTGCTGGAGAAAGTTGGACGTGGTTAAAGCCTAGGCTGCAAGGACTGTGTGCAAGGATAGAGTTGTGCAAGTGCCCTACGAGTAGCTTGGTAAAGACATATTGTGTCCCTTTGAAGGTTAAGGCCAAGCGTGGCTGTTGAAAATGGCACTGAACAGAGGAACATATTAGTAATATCTCTGACTGCAAAGTGCTTACCGAGGAACATATTAGTAATATCTCTGACTGTGAAGTGCTTACTGCTTGCTGATTGGACATAATCTACTGACTCTGTGTTGGGCTTAGGGGCCTTCACAGGTGGGACGATGGCGTTAAGGTTGTGGTAATCCACCATGGGGCACCATTAATTCTTTCTACATTTAAGAACAGTCCAAACTGGGCTGTTACTGGAGAAACAGTGGGGATAAACATCTTCCGACATTGGACTTTATAATAGGTTTCACTCCTCAAAGACTGTGCTTTAATTTATATCAATTTGTATTAAGTATTTTAGCTGGACAGTAGGGAGGGAGGTCTATAGAGCTGCAACTTACCAAGCCTATTTTACATGACAAGGACTCCATCTAATTACAGCTTATTATGCGATGGGTCAGTGTCCGTGTCCACAGAACATGTTTTAGAGTAATGGGTTATATGATTATGAAGAATTTAGGTAATGTATTTTTTGCAGTGGTTATGGTGAGGCAGTTCTCTTTTATGTTCAATAATTCTCTTCAGATTTTACGTATATCTTGGTTAAATTTAATGGGATTCTTGAGTATAACTGTAATTTGAATTCGGTATTAATTAGTGTCATAAAATTTTGCCAATTGTTCCATCTCAGTACATGCTAAATTAATTTAGAACCTACATTGTATAGGGGAAAACAAATACTTTTATGTTTTTGTTATATAAATTATACGAATAAATTTTTCATTCCTGATTGAGTCAAATTATGCCCACTGTTTTGGGCTTTTGTTTCCTCCTTGGTATCTAGGATTTATATATGTGTGTATTTGGTTATAGGATATAATTTGTTGGGAGAGAGTTATGTTTTCCCTGCTCATATTTTTAAGCTTCTTCCTGTTGGAGAGTATCAAATTATTATCTTTAAGGTTAGGGGCTTCACCCATGACAATTGTTGCTTTATTGGATTTAAGGAAGCCAGTTGATTAAAATTAAGTCCTTGGATGTGCCACAGGAGGTGGGGACATAAGGGTGGAAGCATGAATGTTTATTCCTGTAACACTGAGGATCAGGTTCTATAGAAATAAAAAAAAAAAAGTGTAATTCCTACTCTCACACACTCAACAATTTGTTTTTTAAAAATTAGGTTGCATTTCTCTGTGCGTCCAGTGAACCAACTCCCTGGGAGTTGGCTCCTTTCCTCAAATTCACTGGTCACTTTGACCTTCAGTAACTCAGCACAGCTGCTGCTCCGTACCAAGGATGACCACATGGCCACCCAGGAATCAATGACTTCTCCTTTCTCTAATCAAAGGCTATCCTTTTTCATCCCCAGCCACATGTTTCAGTGAGTCACAGCCATTCCAGCAAATCTCACTTCACTGACACCAATTCTGAAGGAAAAAACAAACTGTGTTTTCGTACTCTCTTACACAGTCACTCAACATTTATGACACCATATGTGTGGGGTTTTCCCTGCTACACCAAGCAATTCTGCAGTGGATACAAACTGGGTGTCCTAGAATTCATTCAGTTCTGACATATCTACCTGGAGTTTAAGTCAGATCCCACAGGTTAAGAGCTCAGTCCTACAAGGCTGCCCCCACTGCAGATTCCTATAGCAGGTAATATTAACAGGTTGTCATCTACACTTCTGACTGACCTGCTATAAATCCAGGGTTCCCAGGACCCTCTCCTCAGGTTCAATTAATTTGTTAGAGCAGCTCACAGAGCTTAGAGAAACACATTTGCTGGTTTATTATAAAGGATATTACAAAAGAAACAGATGAAGAGATGCACAGGGCAAGGTGTGGGGGAAGGAGTGTGGAGCTTCCATGCCCTCTCCAGGTGTCCCACCCTCCAGGTACCCCCATGTGTTCAACAACCCAGAAGCCCTCCAAACCCTGTCCTTTAGGTTTTCTGTGGAGACTTCATCACGTAGGCATGATTAAGTAAATCTATGGCCATTGCTGACTGACTCAACCTTCCGCCCTACTCCCCTCCCCAGAGGTTGAGGGGGTGGGGCTGAAAGTTCCAACGTTTTATTACAGGTTGGTTCCTCTGGCAACCGGCTCCCATTCCGAGGCTATCCAGAAGCCCACAAGCAATCACTGCACTAGAACAAAAGAGACTCCTATTGCCTAGGACATTTTAAGGGATTTAGGAGCTCTGTGCCAGACTCTCCTATCACTCATTAAATGACAACGGTGTTAGGAGCTTTGTGCCAGAAACCAGGGGTCAAAGAACAAATATTAGAACAAAAGAGTCTCCTAGCACCGCCGCATAAAAGGTGTAAGGAGCTCTAATTGAGGAACAGGGAGCATATATATATATATATATATATATGCACATATCTACCTGGACTTAAAGTCAGATACCACAGGTCTGACTTTATATATATATATATATATATATATATATATATATATATATATATATTTTTATATAATACATATTTATATATTATATATTATATATTTAATATATTATATTTTATATTATATATTTAATACATTATATTTTATATTATATATTTAATACATTATATTTTATATTATATATTTAATATATTATATTTTATATTATATATTTAATATATTATATTTTATATTATATATTTAATATATTATATTTTATATTATATATTTAATATATTATATTTTATATTATATATTTAATATATTATATTTTATATTATATATTTATAATATATTTAATATATTATAAAAAATATATACACATACATATGTATGTATGTATATTTATATATCTTATTATATCACAATATTAGAGATTATTTTGGAGCAATAGCGGCTTAGGTAGCAGCAGCAGCAAAAACATTTTGTAGTGTCCTAGTGAGCCCACTGCTTTTAGAAGTGTGGCCCTCTGCATAGCACATTGTGAGTGCTCCAGGTGAGTACCCAGTGTGCCCATATATTACATGTTGTATCAGTGATTTCCTAAGCACTCTCTAGAATGGTGGCCAGTGCCTGGTTGAGACAAACAACAATGGTGACAGGATAGGAGTTATTCCTCTTAGCCTAGTATCAGTCATGGACTATGCTGGGCTCCAGGCACATGAGTTAATCTCAGACACATGCTCTAGGCTGAGACACATGACCCAGGATCACTTTAAGGAGGGCCCCAATCCCATATTCTCATATGCCAATTATCAGCTTCTAATTTAAGTTGGTTACATTTATTTTTTTATTTTTTTGAGACAGAGTTTTGCTCTGTTGTCCAGGCTGGAGTGCAGTGGCGCAATCTCGGCTCACTGCAGCCTCTGCCTCCCTGGTTCACGCCATTCTCCTGCCTCAGCCTCCCGAGTAGCTGGGCCTACAGGCGACCGCCACCACGCGCGGCTAATTTTTGTATTTTTAGTAGAGACAGGGTTTCGCCGTGTTAGCCAGGATGGCCTCGATCGCCTGACCTCGTGATCTGCCCGCGTCGGACTCCCAAAGTGCTGGGATTACAGGCGTGAGCCACCGCGCCCGGCAGGTTGGTTACATTTTTAACCGAAGCTTACACAAAGCAGCACGGTTGAAAGCACAAGCTTGCCAGAAGGGGGCACAGACAGTTAGCAGGCAAAGCAAGAGCCCTCAGTGGTGGGGGTCATTGCCTGGACTTCCTGCTCACTGTGCCCATCCCTGAAGTCATCTTGCAGAGGTGAGATGGACTCCCATGCAAAATATAGCTGAGATGACAAAACTGACGATTGATGCATATGGAAGACCAGAAAGGATAAATGTCTCTTCTCTAAATAGGTCTTGCATAATGGGTTTCAAACTTTTAAGATCCTATTTTAATTTACATTAGGCAGTATTAACTATTTTAACTGGAGAGTAGAGGTGAAAGCCCCCACACACCAGGAGGGTATGAAAAGGTTTACTATGCTCATAATCAGGCTTTCTGAGAAAAAGCGGGACAGCCTCTAAAAATGGCAAGAGAATGGATTGTTTTCTATTGTGATGAGGGGGTGAGGATGGGTGAGGGCTCCCCAGCATGAACTGAGTCTTGCATGATTTGAGCTTCCCACCAGTACTGAACTAAGGGGTACCCCAGCTTTCTTATCAGCTTTCCCCCATGTAGGGCAGGAGAAGAGAAAGCGGTGAAACCTTAAAGTTGTCAGTAGTCAAACATCAAAAATGGAGTCAGACTCTATTACAAAGTATTTACTAATCTCTCAACTCTTTGCAAGGAATTAAGACATCTGCATGCCTGGGAGATCTCATTCAGTCAGGGTCAAATTTTATGCCTCACTTTCAGTGTTAGCTCATAATTGCTCTCAGCTAACCACACATTTTCTATTTAAATTTCCATTTGTTCAATATCAGTGCACTTTGAATAAACATACATATACAAATGACATCATTCAGAGGAAAAAACGGAACCATTTGCTTCTAAATAGGTACCTTAAAGTTAGTCTGTCCCAAACAAAACTCTTGCTGTTCCCCCAGTCCTGTCTCTGTTCCAGCCTTCCCCATTTCAGTAAATAGAACTAATATCTATCCATTCATTTAGTCAAGGCAACAATCTTGGTACTAAATTTCACTGCTTTTCTTTCTCTGATGTACTATGTCCAATCCAACAGCTAACCCTGTATTTTCTTCATCCAAGATTTATCTAATCCAATCCATTTAAAGGTCTTTATATCCACTGTCACCCACCTTATTTCAGGCTTAAACTATTGAATTACATGTCTAACTGGTTTTCCTGCTTCTGTTCATCACCCTGTAATCCAGTCTACATAATGAAGGTAGGGTAATCTTTCAAAGATGTGCATCAGATTACTGGGCAGAATCTATTCTATCGCTTCCCATAGAATAACACCCAACCTCTTTATCAGGCCATGCAAGGTCCTCCGTGATTTGTCCTCTGCCTTCTTCTCTCTCCCTCGCTTCTCCTCACTCTCTTCATGTTTTCGGTTTTGTTTTCCTATCTAAAAAAGACTTACTGTAGTTCATGCAATCTGAAGTCCACGCATCAAAGGCAGCTAGGAAAAAAAATTTAATGCATTTAAAAAATTTTAGAAAAACTCTGTGTGTGAGTGTGTGTGTGGGTGTGTGAAGAGGGTAGGATGGATACGCAAAGTTCTAGTCCCATGGGGTCTCTGCAAGAGAAGGGATTGGAGAAAAAACAAAGTCCACTCTCCCTAGAGAATAATAAATTCATCTCTTAAATGCATTTTTTTCTATAGCCTCTGGAGGTCATCAAAAAGCGCTTCTAAGCTCTTTTTCCAACGGTTGGGATATGGTAATGCACATCCCTGCAGAGATTTTCTCTTTTAAGGAACTGGCAGTGAGAAAAAACAAAACAAAATGAAACATTTTGCATACACTCTCTTCAAGAAAACACCAGTATACTAATATGGTATAGGTACATGTGATGGTTAATACTAAATGTCAACTTGATTGGATCAAAGGATGCAAAGTATTAATCCTGGGTGTGTCTGTGAGGGTGTTGCCAAAGGAGATTAACATTTGAGTCAGTGGACTGGGGAAGGCAGACCCAAACTTAATCTGAATGGGCACCGTTTAATCAGCTGCCAGCAAATATAAAGCAGGCAGAAAAATGTGAAAAGGTTAGACTGGCCTGGGCTCCCAGCCTATATATTTCTCCCATGCCGGATGCTTCCTACCCTTGAACATCAGACTCAAAGTTCATCAATTTTAGAACTCGAACTGCTTCTCCTTGCTCTTTAGCCTGCAAACGGCCTATTGCGGGATCTTGTGATTGTGTGAGTTAATACTTAATAAACTTCCATATATATATATATTTTTTCCATTCATTCTGTCCCTCTAGAGAACCCTGACTAATACAGTACAGGAACTCACAGATTTTGTGGATTCGGTTCTATAATACTTCAGTAATGCTAATATCTCAATAAAGTGAGTCATACAATTTTTTTTTGCTTCCCAGTGCATATAAAAGTTATGTTTACAATATACTGTGGTCTATATATATATATATATATATATATATATATATATATATATGTGGTGTAATAGCATTATGTCTAAAACGGTACATACCTTAATTAAAAATACTTTATTGCTGAAAATGCTAATGGTCATCTAAGTCTTCAGTGAGTTGTAATCTTTTTGCCGGTGGAGGGTCCTGCCTTGATGTTGATGGCTGCTGACTGATCAGGGTGGTGGTGGCCGAAAGTTGAGGTGTCTGTGACAGTTTTTTAAAATAAGACAATAATGAAATTTGCTGCATCAATAGTTGATTCTTCCTTTTATGAAAGATTTCCCTGCAGCATGAGATGCTGTTTGATAGCATTTTACCCAAAGGGGAACTGTTTTCAAACTTGGAGTCAATTCTCTCAAACTGTGCAGCTGTTTATCAACTAAGTTTATGGAATATTCCAAATCCATTGGTGTCATCACAACAATTTTCACAGCATCTTCATCAGGAGTAGATTTCATCTCAAGAAGCCGCTTTCTTTGCTCATCCATAAGAAGCAACTCTCTGTTGGTTCAGGTTTTCTCACAAGATTGCAGCAAGTCAATCACATCCTCAGATTCCACTTATAATTCTAGTTCTCTTGCTATTTCTATCATATCTGCGACAACTTCCTGTACTGAAGTCTTAAACCCCTCAAAGTAATCCAGGAGGGTTGGAATCAACTTTTTCCAATAGGTAAAAAAATGCAATATAAGTTAGGCACAATAAAGTGAAGCACTATAAAACAAGGTATGCTTTTATTTAATATTTTCATGTCAGAGGATTGACAACAAAGACAAACCTATTAATTCTTTAGCGAAATATCGATTAAAAAAGAAGCAACACTATTGCATCTTTCTGTTAGAGAGTCGGTGTCTCTGAGTTCAATGTCTTTGGAGATGGAGACTGTGCTCAATGCCTGAGGCTGCATGGTGAAAATTGTCTTGAGTGTCCTTGGCTTTTTCAGTACAGGCTCTCAGTAACCACCCACCCGAGGAGCTTGTCCTGGCAAAACTGGCTGGCTTATTGGATAAACATGCACTGGATGACATCCTGGACAGCTATCATGGTCACTCACAGGGTCCAAGAGAGCTGCCGTTCATCTAGGAGCTGGCTGAACGATTGCTGTTCTGGTTGGATTTCTGTCTGTATGTTCTGTTGAGCACTGGTAGAAAGTGTCTGAGTGCCTGATACCAGCAGGGATAAGCAGGTGTCTTGCTTCAGCAGGTTCTTTGCTTTGTTGGTACTGTTCTATTGCATCAGCTGCATGTTCTGTCCTGGGCCATTCTGGGTCTGCTGGATTTGCTCCTGTGGCTGGATCTAGACAGTGCGAACTGCTGAACTTACCCAACCTGCAGCTTCCCTGTTTGGCTCTTCTGAGGCTGCACTGTAAAGATCTGCCTGAGCCGGATGGTGGTCATGGAGCTGGTGGTCTGCTAGTTTTGCTGCTGCCTGTGGGCCTGGACAGGGGTGGGCTACTGAACCAGGGTGAAATAGTACTGGATGGACTCAGTGGGAAGCCCAGATTGGTGCAGCTGCTCCTCATCTATGGCAGTGTTGATCATTTCTTGGAGAGTATCAATGAAAAAGTTATACTGACCACATTTTGTAATTGTCATGATGATATCATTTGACTGTAGAATTTGGCACTTGTTTTCCTCTGAGACATTCTGGGATATGTACCGGGCACAATAAAAACACATTGCAAAACAGCATGGAACAAAGATTTACCCTTCAAGCTGGTAGAAGTCATGCTTTATGGGTGCAAGATTCCTGATGAGAGAACTACAATGATTGCAGGTATATATACCATAGCTTAGCTGGAGTGCAGAGGTAGGCACATTGAGATGTGATGAGGGAATATTCCGAAGGGCAACTTTCGCTCAAAAACTTTTCGCTGGTTCAACAGAAACTTTCTTGGAACTGTGCACACACCCAGGCTCTTCCTACCCAATCCTCCCTTTTCTTTCTCCCGCAATAGGTCTCAAAACCACATTATAATCTGAAACCTTTCCCCACTGTCTATTATTTTCCTCCCCTCTTAATAAATCTCTTACACCTCTAATCCCATTTTAGCTTCTGCATTTTGGTGTACCCAAACTGTGCAGTATACTCTGTAAAATAATTCATTTATTCACTCAATAAAGATTCTTGAGGAACTCCTGGAACTCTAAATACTAGGAATTTAAGTACTAAGATGTGGCACTGCCTTCAATGAACTTAGCATTTTCTTAGATCACAAAAAATTTTTAACAAATATGTGTAATACAATGTGGTCAATATAGTAGCAAAAATATTGTGCATATAATCAGAGATCTTGGCAGGTATAGGAAAATTTATTCAAGACAAGGTGACCCCTGAGCAAAGTCTTCATGGATGTGTTTCTGGAACATAAAGAATGAAGAAATAGGCCTAGCATGGTGGCTTACACCTGTAATCCCAGCACTTTGAGAGGCTGAGGCCAAAGGATTGCTTGATGCTAGAAGATCAAGACCAGACTAGGAAACATAGCAAGACTCTCATCTCTATAAAAAATTTAAAAAAAAAGAATGAAGAAATTAAAAACAGATACATGGCTATAGAACAAACCACAGGGTAGCAGCCCTATAAGCTTAAGTTGTACTTTGTAATTTGTAAAGGTGCATTAGTTTGCTAGGGCTGCTGTAACAAAGTGCCACCAACTGGATGTCAAAACAACATACGTGTATTGTCTCTGAGTTCCGAAGGCTGGAAGTCCGAAATTGAGGTATCACCAGGGTTTGTTCCTTGTGAGGGCTGTGAGGGAGAATCTGTTCCATGCCTCTCTTCTAGTTTCTGGTGGTTTGCTGAAAATTTTTGGTGTTCCTTGGCTTGTAGGAACATCACCCTGATTTCTTCTTTCACATTCATATTTTATTCTACCCATGCTCATATCCCTATCCAAATTTTCCCTCTTCATAGGGACACTGGGTGTATTAAAGAACTTGATTACCATTGTAAACATCTTGTCTCCAAATACAGTCACATTCTGAAGTACTTTTTCAGTGTATTAATTTTGGAGGGATATAATTCAAACTGTAATAGAGAGGGAGGATAAAGCAGAGAAATATAATGCTTAGCCTTTCATTTTTAGTGAAATCATTGTAGAGTTATAGCTGAAAATAGACATTCAAGGGAATGATTCTCAACCATGGCTGCACATTATAATTATCTTGGAAGTTTGAAAATATACTGATGACCAGGCCCTACTCATGGGCTCTCTCTGCTAATTGTCCTAGGATAGAGATCTTGGCAGTATTGTTGTATAAAAGCTTCTCAAGTGATTCTAATATGCAGCTGCATTTATGATGACTGTTTTAAGGTGGTAAGGCTTGAGGCAGGAAGGGCAATTTGGATATGGTTTCATTAACCAAGACAGAGAGAATGAGGCTCTGAAACTTGGCCACCAGTAGTAGGAAAGAAGAAGAGGAGATAGATGATTTCTAGAAACAGGAAGTAAATCAGTAAGACTTGATGACCGATTGAACAGTAGAGGGGAGTAGGGAAGAGTCAAAGATGGCTCATACGTTCTCATTATGTACATGCTGGTGTCATCAGCAGATGTTAAAGATATAAGAAATGTGTTCTCATGGGGGAGAGCATAGTAATTTCTTTTGGTAGATAGGTTAGTAACTGAATGAATTGAGTTTTTTTAATTAGACTTTTTTAAATATTTAGAGAATAATGCAGATGCACATGCACACACACACACACACACACACACACACACACACACCTGCATGTAAAATGAAACATGTAAGAAATAATACAGAGAGACCCAACGGTACCCTTCTCTAGTTTTTTGAAAGGCAACGTCTTTAAAAACTATGTAGTACAATATCACAACCAGAATGTTGACATCAATCCAGTCAAAATACAGAACAGTTCCATCACCACAAGGATATATGAAGTTTGAAGTGCCTATAGATAGTATTCAAGCAAGACTTGTTATAGTGGCATTCTCTAAGGACATGCTCTTTACCTAGTTTTGATCATTCTAAGGTACCAGAAACCTTCAACAACTAAGTAAGACCCACCTGCATCAGGTGCCTCAATATAATAATACATGGACATTGAGGACCTTTTTAAACTTAGGGTTTTATGCAATACATGTCTAGTAGAGAGTTAGAAATATATGTAGGTAGTGATTCCACCTATAAAACAAGCTCCACTTGGGAAAATAGTTTACACACACACACACACACACACACACACATTCATGCATGCGCCTATCCACAGATGGTGGCACATATACACCACAAGCCTGTACATGCACAGATGCACATTTTATTAGAATAGATAAAATTTTGTGAGTGGCCATTAGATGAACCCCTCACATTTGAAGAGAGTGATTATTCTGTCTTTTAAAGGGTGTGCTTTTAGTGTAACCATAGCCAAGAAAAAAAAAAGAGAGAGAAAGAGATTAAAAACAGCTGGAACATATGTCTATTTTCACCTCCTCCATCTGGAACTTTGTTTTAGGATATCACAGACACTTTCCAAACAAAGCTCTGTTGGACCAAATGATAAATATAGAGGAGACATGCATTACATGTACGATTCTCTTTTTGTTTGAAGAGCTTTATAGAATCTGAACCACTGGTGTGTTTTCCAAATGTAAAAATAAAGCTTTGAACAGCACAAATGTGACTATACACACACACACACACACACACACAGAGAGAGAGAAAATATATATATATATACATTGCATATATATATATATATATATATACATTGCCTATATATATATGTATGTTTATATAGGCGATGTTAACTGCAATGTTGGCTCTTTAATCCATAAGTTCTGTTTACCTGGGAAGTAAAAATGAAGTCTTTTATTATATGTTGATATTTTAATACAGCAATCAGAGAACTAAAATAATGTGCTAGTCAATCTTTCAAGTTTCTATCAGTACTCTACTCTCAGATTCACACTTTTCTCTAAATTTCTCCTGTATCATATCATGCCCCAATTACTATAACTTTCTCACCCTTCCCCTCATGGCAGTATGATTTTACAGCAATACATCCAATATGAAAATTATGTTAAACATTTAAAACTTCTTGGATAACATCACTCCTATTGTATATAGATCAAATTCCAAAGTCATTGACCTTTATTATATAGGTCCTACTTCAGCTTACACCAGAGGTTAAGAGCCCAGGTTTTAAAAGTCAGACAGTCTTCAGTTCCAATCCCAGTTCTTCCAAATGGAAGCACAGTCTGCAAGGATTCATGGTTCTAGCTCAACTGATTACTTTTGAAGGCCCGAAATTACATAATGGCAGAGAAAACAGATGAACAATGGAAAAAGAATGGGGTTAAAAAAATAGACAAACCCTGGTGCCCAGTTGATTAGAAGAGAGAAAATGGTAGGAAGCATGATACCTATATTAGCCTACTGGGTGGATTACCGAAGAGAGAGAATCCAGGAAAGGGAGAGGTTTGTCAGAATGAGGAGGAAGTCATTATTTTGAATTTGGTGTATGACATTTAGGTGAATATATTCATTCCACAGTAGTTGAGAGCCAGAGAAAGAGAGCAGAGACCCGATAAAAACTTAGGAGGCAGCAGAATATTATCATTGCCATGCTCATCCAACACTGAATATAAATGAATTCCACTGCAAGAATTATAGCCTGGGGGTACAGCATGTTTAAAACTCCCAATTTTACTGGATAATACAGCAATAAAATTAAAGTATATTCCATAAAAGTGACAGAAAATAGTCTTAAATGAAAGTTCAAATAAAAATCTTGGTACAATTTACCTCTAACTTTTGGCTCAATATAAGACAATTCAGAAATTATGGCTACTTGACTATCTCAGCAGCTGTCTTCTCAAAGACTAAAGATATAGGCTTGGGATGCATGGTTAAGTGATATTTATTAGACTAGGAGAAGCATAGGGGCTGGGAGAGGTCATGGCTACTCTTCTGCTCTATGTTTATGGGAGTTCTTTTGTTTTGTAACAAAGCTCATAGTTTTGGGATAAGTGAGGAGGGAGAAGGTCACCTGTTTAACAAGCTACATTACCCCAAGGCAGTCAAATGGGTGACAGATGGAGTCAGATTGCCCTCACATTCCTATAAGAGAGATATTTTTCACAGTTCTGGACCATATCCATTCAACATAAAACAGAATATGATAATAATTATGGGTTGCTAGTGCACAGTGAGAAGTCAAATACCAAAGCCAGTTCTTGCCAAGTTTTTCTTTGTATTTTAACCACACGATCCATATTCTTCATTAGGCTATCCTTCATCTGTCCAAACAACAGGCTGTCGTCAGTTTATACAACTTAACCATTCTTAGCCCAGAGATGCTTATGTATGCTTTTTTAATGTTATAATAGAACTGAGATCTTTGTATTTTATATAATTGTTGAAAATGCTATTAGAAAAACAAAAAACAAAATAAAGTCTTTCTAAGAATGTTTGCAAAAACTAAAGGAACATTCACTGTTACAACAGCAAGGCACAATGAGTCTCCATTTCTCCTGAGAAAATTCTAGTAGACCTTTCTGACAGCTTTGAGATAGGCACTTTGTGGATAGATCACATGAGCCCTCTGAAAGTGACATTCAGGGGAAAGTTGGCTTGTGTTGAGTTCATTTTGCAACGCAGAATCCACTGAAAATTCAACTATGACATCATAGAGAATCATCTTTAATTTGCAATTATCTTATTTAATGACCTTGAGGATGTTTTTTCATGTTGCTTAGCTATTTACACATTTCTTATTTGGTGAATTGTTATGTTCATCCTTTCTGCCCAGTTCTATATAGAATGCTCTGTTTTTTTTTTTTCACAGATTTAGGAAGCTTTCATACACCAGTGGGAACAGTTATCTTTTTTCCAACAGAGATTGTGTAAATTTTTTTAATTTAAAGAATTTTAAAATATAAATGGTGAAAGGAGATATTTTAATAATCAAGAAAAAAGAAATACATACTCATCTAAATTCTAAAAATATATGTATAAACCTAGTGTTTTGGAAAAAAAAGGCAAAGAAACTGCACCAAATATGTTCACAGCTGCTATCTGTGTATTATAGTATTATTGTTCTTCTTAGTATGTCTTTGTTATTTTCAAAATTTCAACAGCGAACATGCATTATTTTAAAATGTTATGGAAAACTTACTAAAGTTTAGGAGAAACTCAACATGCATATATATATATATACAAACACATGCTTTTATTTTGTTTTATTTTCCCCTGAAGTTTATTTTCCTATGCATATATTTTTCCATATATGTTTGGATTGGCACCAATCCTATATTTACAGTATTAAGGACTTTTTTCATTTGTGGCCTCTCAACATCCTTGAATATCTTTCCAACATTCTGGTGATTTCCCACATTATGAGTCCTCCCTTTCTAAGGTAGAAGCCATAAAACCCACATCCCCAGTTTTTTTTTGCAGCTATTGTACAGATATATCACCTAGGTTTCACCAAGTGGAAACTTTGGAAGGAACATTGTATTTAGAAGTGAGCAGTGTGAGAAGGTGGTCATATATGCAGAAATCAATATTCTCATAATTACAGTCATGAAAACAGCTGGTTCTTTGGACACTTCAATGGTGGATATCCAGTTCTGAGCATCTTGGATGCTGAGAGGAAGACACCAGTGTTTTCTATAGAAAATCCCTCATAATATGCTTGGCCAATGGATTTTGTTGTTCAGCTCCAGAATTTTACTTTTCTAGCCTTCCAAAATACTCTGGGAGCTTCAAAATATTCTTTAGTAATAAAATAATCAGAGTGGGCTCTGTATTTGCATTGTCCAAAAATTTGCAGTTTATATTTGTTTTCTCTATTTCATTGTAGCAGTGATTTTAAATAGCTTCATGCCTAATTATGCCATTATTTAAAAGTTCTATAATTTATTTACTCCATGCAATTCATAGAATATTTAGTTTGTTTTCTATCAATGTAATTAAAAATGCTTCATTTACAACTTAAGCACAAATACAAATATGTTTACCTTTCTTTTTCTAAAAGCGATACTCTCAGAAAAGGAATGACAAAATCAAAATATTTTATATTTTTGCTTTTACAAATTTGGCCAATATTTTCTTCATTATAATTTCCAGGCAGCAATAACATGGAGGTACTTTCAATTGACATTGAACATAAGGAATGAAGGAAATTTATATGACATGAGATTAGAGAAAAAGAAACAGGTCACAGAGTGTGGGGTTTCTAAGTCATCGTGAGGAGGTGAATTTTTCCTCAAAGTGTGATGAGAAATTTTAGGGAGATATTAAAAATAGAATGGAAACAATCTTAAGTACTTTGAAAAATGATTATCACACTCATTTTTTATTGCAAGGAGGGTGATATGGTTTGGCTTTGTGTCCTCACCCAAACCTCATCTTGAATTGTAATCCCATAATCCCCACATATCATGGGAGGGACGCAGTGGGAGGTAATTAAATCATGGGGGCAGTTGCCCTCAAGATGTTCTTGTGATAGTGAGTGAGTTATCACGAGATCTGATGGTTTTACAAGCATCTGGCATTTCCCCTGCTGGCACGCCTTCTCTCTCCTGCCACCTTGTGAAGAAGAACATGTTTGCTTCCCCTTCCAACATGATTGTAAGTTTCCTGAGGCCTCCCTAGCCATGCAGAACCGTGAGTCAATTAAACCTCTTTTCTTCATAAATTACCCAGTCTTGGGTATTTCTTCATAGCAGCATGAGAACAGACTAATACAGGGGGATAAATATTAGGAGTGTTTTTTTTTCTTTAATCTAGGCAAACAATGATGTTGGCTTGGACTTATTGGTAACAGTAAAGTTAGAAATATTGGAAATATTTGGGATATATTTTAGAGGTAGAACTGACAGAATTCATGGATATGTCAGATATGAAATTTGAGAGAAAGTGGATCCACAGTGATAAATAGATTTTGACTTCAACAACTTGGAACAAATTGTATTGAAATACACTGAGATGGAGGAAATTAAACAAAGATTAGATGTAGGGAATGGAGAGAGAAACCTATGGTTTTTTTGACCTTGTCGAGTTCAGTGTACCTTGGATATTCTTGTGGAGTTTTAAAATCAGCACCTGGTTACAAGTATCTGGAGTTTGGAGGTTGCAATCAGATATGGATTCACTGACATGATTAAAGGCTTGGAACTGGGTAAGGTCCTAGGGAAAACCTGTGGATAGAGAAAGAGTTCAAACATAGGGCCCCAGGACAGTCCAGCGTTTAGAATTTAAAGAGAGCAAGGGGCCTGAGCAAGTAGAAGAAGAGCAGCTTTATTGGGCAAATGGTAAAGGTCTTATATTTATCAACTTTTAGAATGTCTTCTAGAAATTTTCGATTCAAGTATTCTGCCTCCTTCCCTTACATTTTCTAGTGAGATATTGGATTTTTTATTGAACTATAAGATCTTACCATACATCAGTGACATACCCTCTGTGTTATATTTAAATTTGTATTTTGTTTGTTTCGTTTATATTTTTATATTTGTCTTTTATTTGTTTTATTTATATTTTTATATTTCTCCCATTTTTTGTAGCAAACATATGGATCTTTTAATGTTCTATATAGCTTATTAACTTACTTTTTGCTTTACGTGTTCTTTTCCATCCAAAACCTAACATTGACCAATATATTTCTATTTTAGAAATTCCTTTTTTAAAAAACTTTAGCTCTTTAATTAATCCAAAACATATTTTGGTGACTGAGCAGCCATTTGTTGAAACTATAGAGTAAGTCTTGGATAGCTAATCTGGGGCCTGCCAAGGTTTCCCCAGTAAGAGGATTTCCAGTGTTTGGTATTATGAGTCCTGCCCTTAAGGAAGGCACTGGGAGCAGTGTTCAGCAGAGGACACTACTGCCCAAGCCAACAGTTTCTTTCTGGTGCAGTTTATAAAGCCCTAGGATTTTGTTTTGTTTTGTTTTGTGGCTAAGCAATGATTTGTCTCTGTTACACACATTTTGCCATGTTAGCGTCCCAATTATTCTATTTGATTCTATTACTTATAATTAATCCCAGAAATCTTACTGAGTCATGCTCTTCAAACAGGGTCACACCCTTATGTCCCTCTTTCCTTTTTTCTTCCAAATATTTCCAAGCCTAAGTGCAATTTCTCTGGTTTCTGTTTAAGGAGTTTAGCTTTGGCGTATGAATAAGATATTACAGTCTGAAGTAGCAAGGCTGTTCAAATTTCTTCTGAAGTTACACTGCAGTACTCCTCACCTCACCCCACCCAATCTATGTTCCAGTTGATAATTTTAATAAGAGCCATCACCCATTTTATTAGCAGCAGGCCAAGAGGTGTTGTGGAGAAGAAATCTAGCATCCCTAATTCCAAATGCATGGATCCTTTGGTTTCTTTATCAGCATACCAATTTTAGAAGTATCAGAGAAATTAACTGCTTCAGTTCTACTGGGAATATGTGCTAGCCATTGGTTTTGTCCAGCAAATATTTCCAGTTCTTCTGGGCACAAAGTAGGATTGCAATTCTTTGCTCCCCAGAAGCTGAGTGTAACCATTCAATTTGCACTGATCGGTGAAATGTTGAGTGGACGTTATATGTGTTACTTCTAGATGAAATCTTAAGATTCAATTCACGCTTCTCCAACTCTGACTCAGCAACCTGCCAGTTCTAGGTAACCTGGATGCCAAAGACAGGCTAATGTGAAAGAGTGAAGAGATGTGTTCCTTGAATAACAAAGAAACCTTTGTTGTATTGAGTCACTTAGCTTAAGAGATTGTTCATTATTAGAGTGCAATGGAACCCCGCCCGATTCATACAGAATTGGTACCTAAAAGTGGGTTACTATGAAAACAACCTTATTTGAAAACTTATTTTGAAGAGGAAAGACATATGGTTATTAGTTATACTCAGAAGTGAAACAATGAAAATTAATCAGGAAATTAGGAAATCAATTTCGCACATCCTTGAGGTGGTGTGGGCAAAGATTTCATCTATGTGGGTGTTCTCATGCTGGATGTATTGTTGAACATCAAGGTAAAATTAGAATACTGTGATAAAGCACAGGCCAAGAAAATGGAAAGAAACTGCTAATGCAAAGATCCTCTGAAGACGAGCCTGGGCAACTTAGTGAGACCCTGTCTCTACAAAAAAATAAAAAGTTATCTGGACATGGTGGTTCATGCCTGTGGTCCTAGCTAGTCAGGGGTCCTGAGGTGGGAGGATCGCTTGAGTCCAGGAAGTTGAGGCTGCAGTGAATCATGATCTTGTAACTGCACTCCAGCCTGGGCAACAGAGCGAGACCTGGTCTCAAAAGAAGGAAAAAAGATCCTCTTTTTATATGATAGTGATAAAACCTGAATAAGAATAAACAAATATAAGACTGTCTGATTCCAACAAACAGAAAACCTCATGACCTTTTGAAGTATAGGCCTTTTTATTGATTTTGCCTGAGACACTGACAGACCTTTCAATGCAGCCTACTTCGCTCTGTATCAGTTCAGAAGAGTTTTCTGTAAATGTTGTTTCTATGGCCATTGTTTTGATTGATTTTTGTGAGGCAACGTAATTCCTTGCTTCTGTTACTACTATCTATCCTCATTTTATTGGATTCTCCCACATTGCTTTCGTCTCTTTTCCTTCCTCTGCATTCTGAGAGAATACCACAAGTCTGGGCTTTGTATCAGTTCTTCGATTTTCTGCGTAAGTCTTCTCCTTCATGTCTGTAACCCTCATTTTAATTTTGCATTTTACATTTCTTTTCCTCCTAAACTTCTTGACTTTACTGTCTTTTCAAGACAATATCCTGAAAACCTTTTTTCTTTTTTAAAGTGAAAGCACATTTATTAGAGAAGTAAAGAAAGAAAAGAATGGCTACTTCACAGACAGCAACTGAACACCTTTAATACCCATATTTACAATATGGAGATTGTTGCAGAGGTTTTTTTTCAAGCAAGTTAGAAGAAATGATCTAATTTCAGGGTGCTTTTATTTTATTTTTAATTTTATGCAAGGCATGTATAAGTTACAATTTATTTCACCGTCCCTTTCAGGTTTTGGAGATTGTGGAAGTTGATGTTCAATGTGACTATTGATTGATTCTTAATCTTTGATTCCTATTTTCTTGTGAATTTCTATATATTTCTGTATAGACTTCTTCAATTGTTGTGAGAAAAAAAAAAGTGGACTAGCCTGGATCACACACCGCAGTTTTCTCTTCAGATCGCCAGAGAATCTGAATGTAATGACCAATGATCACTTGTGAAATTATAATAATTATTGTTTTACTACAGTCACAAGCATTAAGATTACTAAAAATAATGGCACCAATGGCCCTCACTCCTATTCCCAAATGAAAGGCACATTTAATTTTTTTTCCAACAAAAATCACAAGGATTTTTTTTAGAAAGACAGTAGTGTTTCAGATGTCAGGTGACAATTCTTCCCACTGTGGTATTATAAATGTGTTCATTTTCATGAAAATGTGTGAACTGTCTTACCAACATCAGTGAGTGTAGCATCTTTGCATGATGGAAATAATAGTTATGCAAACAGAAATTGTATATCTTTTAGTATTTAAAAGTGATTTTGTGTTCAGAATTTTGAATTAAAAAGAAATTTGACAATGTGCCCCACATGTGTTGCTTTGAATATTCTAGCCATTAATGAGATAAATACCAGATAAATGTTAAAATTTATCTTTAATCTTGAGTTCTTTATGATTAAGGGAAAAAGTGAGGAACATATGCTGAATATGTTGAACAGTTTCGACTCTTATTGAGTCTGGGTGAAAGATATGCTGGTAACTACTAGAGATACATATTTAAACATAAACATTCTCTCAAATAGACAAAGATTACTAATTGTGAAAATATGTATTTTTAACACAATGCCAAAAATTGCCTGGGGTTTATTGCATTGCATTATCTTAAAGAACATCTTTAAATAGAACAGTACATTATTTTTTCTTGTAGACTCACAAATGTTATCAACCTAAATAAAATGTTTCCAATAAATCTTGTAGGCAGCCTATGATAATTGCACGTTACCACATCAGAATTTTCATTTCTAAATATATCACACAAAAGCAATCTATACAAAATAACATATTAGGAAATCTCCTCCTTTCATACATGCAGTCCCCACAAACATATATACATATATCTTCTACACTTTCACATGATGAGTTAAATATTTCTATGAATTAAATAAGTTTTAAACTAAGTTTCAGTTGGATTTGTTCTTTTGAGATGAAAATGATAAGAGTGATGTAGAGAGAGTTAACATGCTAAATATATTAATCTCAATGGTATCACATCTTATAGTCAATTGTTGGGTGCCTGTCTTAGCACCAAATTTTGTTCTTTATAGAAAGATGTTAGGAACCTTTAAAAATGGCTTTCCATTTTATTATTATATTGCCTTCTGGAAGGAATTAATAGGTTGGCGAGGTTGGAGACAGTTTAAGGAGGGAAAAGTAGCTTTTCTTGGCAGAGCCCCTCAGTCCTGTGATTCTAAACATCTTGAAGAAACAGACTTCAGCCTCAAGTGTTTTATTTTAGGTTCTTCCATAGAGGGTCTATGGAACTTTTCCAATCCTGTTTGTGAATTTTGAAAATCAGATTCCTTAGAGGCCTTTCTTAAAGGTAACTGATGATTTCATGGAAAAGCTAGTTCTTTAACTCTTTAAGAAATTAGCAGAGTAACAATACTAGTTTTTTAAAGAGTGCTTGTGCTTTGAATGAGAGCATGTGAGCTTAGAAAGGAGGCAGAAAGGAGAATGGATATGCTTATTGAGATAAATTTGGGAGTCTTTCAAATGAAAGTTCTGTACTTTATAAATTTTCCTAGGAACCTTCAGCCTCCATCTAAAACCCTGGCATATGGGCCTAAAAATGATCACACATAAGACTTCACACAAATCTGGGTTGAGCTAAGAAGTTGGAGCTCAAGAAATTCTTCTTAGCAAAAACACTTGTCATAGTCAATGTCTTAATAATGTAAATTTTGGTAGAGGTAATTATTTTAGAATCATACAATTGTTCTATATTATTAAATGCCTGCGGAGTGTGGATCAGAATGCTTTCAGAACTCTGGAAGTTCTTGTGATGCAGATACACTCTTTTGTTTTTTCTATGTTCGTTTGTTTGAAGGAGAGATTGGCACTCTGACGTCATCCTGTTCCTCATTTAACATAATGCAGCAAGGACAAGTAAATTCATATTTTTCATCTCAATATGTCCACTTGGACTTTGACTGGCCATATATTTAATGCTATTACGTTTGCAGTTTAGGAGCCAAAATTCTTATCAAATTTATTGATATAATTCTAACATTCAGAATCAGAATGCCCACACTTAATTTGTAAAATAAATGAAAGATGGATAGATTTGTCAGCTTATATCTCACATTTTATTGCAACTGACATTGGACAATTTTGAAGCTAGAAGAATGACAGAAGACGTGATTAGGCCTTCCAAAGACGTGAACCGTATTGCTTCTCCCATTTCTTACAACAGTTTGCCATCTAATCTTTGTTCAGACTGCTACTTTGGCCACTTGAGTTAGTTCTAATAGCATGTTAAAATGCATATTAAAAAAATAGCCTGAAATACCATCTCGTTTCCTGAGCTATGTTTGTCAGCATAATAGTAACTCTGGGTGTTTTACCCTTTTGAGTTAAATTAAAGCTAGCAAGTCTTATTTTGTATAATCACAATAAGATAAAGATCATAGTGTGTTTTACATTGTAATGTGTGTGTATATATCATGGAGGATAAATGCTTAAATGGAATTATGGGATGCACACACATGGGAGGCACTGACCATAATAACAGATGACATTATGATACAGAAAATGTGTGTATATTTAATGAAGATGTTTTAATTTAAAGTCAGTATCTCACTATCTTGCTAACCCCTACTCAAAATACATTTCATAACTGCACAGAAGGACTGAGTAACAAACAAACTTATAGAAACATGCTGATCTATTTTTAATTTGAATTGCTACATGGAATATTTGCAATTGTATTATATATACAATAAGGGATCTATGCAACAACTAAATTTAGTCACCGCTTTATGGGATGCAGATGTGAATAATTTATTGGGATTGAAGATGTTTACACCGAAAATAAAATCGGTATCAAGAGTCTGATTACTAATTTTGCTCCGCCACTTGTAGTGGTCTGTCCTGTTTCTAAGTAAACGCCACTAGGCTTCAGTTTTCTCATCCAGCAGAGAAGTTTATTTTCTAGAGATTTTGAATTAATAGTACAAATCTTTACAAACAATTAAAATTATTAAAATGTAAAGTAAAAAAGATTTTTGAAGAGTATAAAAATAAAATGGGATATAAATAAAATTTCATCATCTCTTTCTTAATTTGTCTAATTTTTGTAAATATGTAAGAGTAGCATCTAGTGCTTGCTGCTAGCCAGAGGCTTCTCTAGGGTTGCCCTGTGCTGAGCAGCCTGGGACAGGGAGGAAACACAACAAGGGTGTCTCTACCTGTCTCTGTGGGGACCACTTAGACAAAAGCTGAGGCTTTGTCAGTTTCATTGTTTACACAGCCAACAAACATTTGCTTTGAGGAAAGAGTTTCTTGGTTAAATAGGATATAGGAGTGACTGATAAATGATTCTTTATGTCCCTTTTAGAATAACCTACTATTTTAGTAATCTATTACTCTTATGATCTTGAAAACATGGTAAAATTACCTCAAAAGAGTTACCATCCTTTGAAAGTTTTATTTCAATCCATAAGCTGATGAACACATTTACATTTGCATGCACTATTTTTTCTTACATAACTCAATATAATACTTACTATTATTGCATTACTACTTTTGTAACTTTGCTTTAATAATTAGTATTTAATTAATCAATTTATGCATTGGCCTTAGAATGTGACAAAGCAACTCCAAGTCAACTCCCTAGTACATATTGTTACACCAACTCTGCCTCATTCCATGAATGAACTAAAATTCTGAAAAATAATTTAAAACTTTTTTTTGGCTGTTGAGTCATGTTAAAATGTCAGAACTAATATTTTCATTATTCTAAATAAAAAAATGAAATTGTATATGTAATATACAATTTAAAATAACCTATAGTTATACTCTGAGAAAAATAATGGCATTAATTGTTTCTGTAACTTAAACATTTAACTAAGGTACCAAAGAAGAACGCAAAAGGAAGTAGCAGAAGTAAATTAATAAGATAAAATCTGAAAATTATGAATTATAAAACAAACTAGCATTCTGATTGAAAAAACGTCTGCTTATATGGGAAGACACAGAATAAAAATATACCCCTGACATGTGTGAATAAGACAAAGGGAAGAAAAAAACATGATTTTGGAATTTATAAAGCAAATATATTCACAATTATAGAAGGTACTAAGGAATTATAAAGATCATTATGCCAGCCTCATGTCAATAATGAACATTTGGATAAAATGCATGTGCCATAGAACAATAATAAATTATTAAAAATTATTTTGATAAAGAAAGAAAACCTGTACAAATCAATATCTATGGGACATTTTTAATGAATGATTTGTCATTAAAAAGGATGTTAGGATGAAGTGGTTCTTTCTAACATTTTTGTGTTAGTTAAAATATTCCAGATGAATAAAAAGACAGAGTGCCCTAATTTCTTTTGTAAGTTTATTACCAAATCCCAATGAAGAAGGCATGAACAAAGAACAAACCAAGAACCTAAATATCTAGAAATAAACTACGGAAGTTGAAGAAGTCATTTATGAAGAAAATTGTAAAACAATGAGAGATATTAACAAAGGTCTAAATAAATGGTCACATATACCTTGCATATGGATTGGAAGACTCAATATTGTAATGATGTCAACTCTATCCAAATGTATATATAAACCTCTCATTGGTGTGGAATGGACAAGTTGATTCTCAATAGGGAAATGCAAAGGTCCTTTAGTAGCCACAGCAATTCTTAAGAAAGAAAAAACATAAAAATTTTTATATGATAACTAACTAAAATGTATAGTTGAGAAGGGAAAAAAATCTCAAACTTACTATATATGTATCAGTCTGTATGAGGTATGGACCTATTGAACAGTATCATTCAGGTTTAGCATCTTCACCACCTTCACCATTATCAAATGAGCCTTGCCTGAAATCAGAAGCACTACTTTCTTTCGTTAGTTGGAGAAGTTGACATGAATGGAGGTATCTGAAGAACCCTAAACTGTGTCATTAGAAAGCAATAGGAAACATGGTCCCCTTCTTTTAGGAGTTGTACCAAAAATTCTGAGTATAAGGGGCCCCAAAGTATGTAATTCTCTATTATTTCTTTGTGAATCTTGATTTAAGCTAGTGCACTATGAAGAGACATACCTGTTTCTCAGATAGTCTTTTATTTAACTTATAAATTATCCCAAGGCATGGACTATATAGAATTCAACGATCAAAACTTTAAGTAAGAAGAGACCAGTTAATGAATTTCTGGGGGAAATAAGGACCTGAAGTAATTAAAATTTCTCAGTAAGGCTGTTATTTTAGTTATTTTCATTAAAAGAAATGTATGGTTATTCGTGTTATTTGGACCCCAGAAAATTAGCTACAACCGAAGAGTGTCCAAGGAAACTTTAAAATAATGCAACGTCAAAGACGTTTTGCATTTTCTGTCAGTTACTAGCACGGTTCTCCAGCAGTCATCTTCACCCAAATCACAATGTGGTACAGATGCAGTTGAAAAAAGAAAAAGTGGCAATGTAAAAATAGATCATTGCACTCCTGTACATGACTATTTTCTCTCTAATGAAAAGATTTTATTTTAGTTTGATGCCTTTCAAAATCTTGGTATTTGAAGAATTAATTTTTATTTAAAGTAAATCTTTTTTTTTAGCATTAAGCAATGGGATGTTCATGAACCTTATCTACAGTGAAATTCCTTCTCAGTTTTATTTTCAGAAATATACAAGTGTAGATTTATAAGCAAAACTGATCAGGGCATTTATTTGTATATATTTGCCTATTGGTAATGTACAGTCATTTACTACTTCAAATGGCATATACTTATTTTATATGTAGTATTCATTTTACCAAATCATGAGTATTTTCCCAATTTAATTTATATTTTATTATTTGTTTATTCAGTACTTCTTAACACATGCATATTCATTTATTTTGAGTCTCATAAACTTTTTAAAAATGGTTATCTACTTTGAGCCAATCTCGTAAAGTCATATAAAGCCCTCCTAAAGACACACCTTCGTCCCCATTAATATTATTTTAGGTGTGCAGTGTCAAGCAGTTCTAACATAATACTCAGTCTGCGGTGTCAAGGAGTTCTAATACAATAAGGCTCAGTCAGCTCACCAGTAAGTTAGCTTTTCTCTAGGTCTTGTCTGTGATATTTTAGTTTCCATAATCAGATTTCTGACTAGCTCTTGAGCTCAAATTCCAGTCTTCCAGTAAACAGATGCTATCTTATACTTCAGTGTATAGGGCCCTGTCTGAGAAAATTGTGATTTAAAGTAGTCTACTCATTTAGTCTCATAAATAATAGAACTTCTAAAGAAATGCCAGTGTTTCAGCATGCAAGCCATAGTTCCCGGATTGTTAGAGATGGGCCAAAAAGGATTTTTCAGACTATGTGCCTTATTTTTGATTTCTGGAAACATCATTGCTATCATAACACTACTATTCATTGGAAAGCACTTGTTAGAGTAATTAGACTTACAATATGAAGCTGGGATATGAGATGGTAACTTGGCTAACTTGTCAAAGAGTCCAGTAAAGAGCCAGGATAATAGACAAAAAAAAAACAAAACAAAACAACAACGACAACAAAAAAGGAAAACAGAAGAAAGGGGTTGGGGAACAACTGGAGTGTGCCTTTTCTAAAAAACCTGAGACAATTAATTTTTACTATATATAATTTCAAATTCTAGAAAATGCAATCATATATAACAACAACAACAACAGCAAAACACCCTTCTTTGGTGATTTTGCTGGCTATATAACCCAGATGCAATATTTATATTTCATTTTTGGTCATTTTTCCATAAGTTGTTTTAATGTGTCCACTATTTTTCAGAATTAATTCTATGCTTTCACATTTCCAATTAAAATATATGGCATTGAGCTCCAATGGCTACCAACGTCATAAAAAGGAAAACAACTACATATTAAGTGCCTCCTGATGGATGAACACAAGGCCAGCTATAAAGTACCCAGCCAAACATAAATCATGAATCTGAGCAATTCTCTAGCCTCAAATAGCAGTTTACAAAAACAGGGAAATCAGAGGAACATGTTAAACAATACCATGGTATTGCAATCAGCAAAATCCAGAAAGAAAAAGTGTATAAGACAAAAATTTAGGCTATTTTCAATGATGTGTGAAGGAAAAGAGATAGAAGAAGAACTTTTAGACTAAAAGAATCTCAAACAATCAATCAACTGCCATGTGTAGGCCTTATTTGGATGCTGATTTAAATAAATACCAAAAAAGACACATAGGAAACTGTAAGATGGTTATCCACTTACTATTTTTATGACATTAATGTTATTTATTTTTTAAACTGTGATCATTGCATTCCAGTAATTTAAAGAAGAGAGCTTACCTTTTGGAGATGTATACAATATCGATTTGTAAATACTAAAATATTTACAAATAAAATGACATGATGTCTAGGGTTTACATCAAAATACATGGAAATTAGGACAAGTTGAAGTGGCTGTATATGAAACAAGAATGACTCTATGTGTTAATTGTCAAAACAGTCCTGAGTACCTAGAAGTTCACTATACTGCTCTGTACATTTTTTGTATATGCTCAGAATTTTTATGTATCTTAAAAAGTTATGACAAGATAATTTTTCCCCAGTTGCTAAAACAAAACAAAATAAAACAACATAATTTTTTTCAAAATCATATTTCCCAGAGTTTTGGCTTTTTGTATTTTCCAATACTGTGAAGATTTTAAGGAAAAGAGTTTTTATCCCACGTTACTTAAAAAGAGTTTATTGAGATGAAAGTATCTTCAGATAATACATTTCTATTTGTCATCGGACAGTTTTCAACATGTAGTGATAAAATAATTGAATTTTTAAGGGAAAGGTCTTTGTGCTGGGTTGAAAACTTATTTTGGATGTCAGGTAATAAAATTCTTTAGGGATTTTACGTGGCAATAACTTAGATAACCCAACTGTTGATATGACAAAAATAATCAAGGTATAAATAAATTGTTCACAAACATGCTGTTTTGTTTAATAAAGTTTAGAATATTATCTTTTTCTTAAAATAAAAGAACTCTTAAGTCACACGGAATAATAATGCTGGCTTTTACTGTCATCCATTTCTATGTAGTGTTTCTAACATCGTGATGTTAGACATCATTAACTATGATTAATATCAGTTCATTCTGAGTATATTCTAACATAATATTCATTATGTTAACATCATCATTCATTACGAGTCTTGGTAATATTAAAATGGTAATTCTTACACACAATTCACTGATATAGACAGAGTTTGATTAATGGGAGTCACTGATTTTTTACTTTAATTTTTTTTTAGAATTTCCTAGCTGGTATGGAAACTGAAGTCCTTGAATCAACAGAAATGTAATCATATTAAAATTAGGGTATTGTAAGATTAATTTTGTGCCAATATTACCTTCCTTGCAAACTCTGGTAACATATTCAATATAACAAAAAAGGTGCATGTTAAATTTTAATTACTTTTACTAAAATGTCTTCGCTCTCTACATCATAGTGGCAATTTAAATCTCCCCAGTATAAACGTTCAAGACCCTTGCCCTGTTAGGAACCAACTAACTGAGTAAATGCAAGTGATTTTAAATTAAAGATGACTGTGCAATTACTTTAGGGAAGAAAAAATTAGCTTATCCATTAGTGTTATAGGTTGCTGTAAGGAAAGCCATGGTATCTGTTCATTCAATTAACTCCCAACCTCAAAGGCAACCGATCATTTCATTTGTAACCTTGTTGATTAAGCGGCTCTGAATTTTTAAAAAGCTATGCCTTTGAGAATATAAGCTTGGTAATATATTTCTCTTGGACTGCGTGAGTCTGTTTGGTACATTAGCTAATTGTCAGAAAAGGTAAATGGTGTACTTAATAGGTTTTGATCAAACTCTATGAAAAAGCTTATAAGAAAAATATAAAAATATTTTTTTCTAATCAACATAACTGTAAACATACATAAAATTATTCCAAAGTGCAATGATAATGTTATGATATGCTGAAATTATTCAATAAAATAGTAGAGGTAGAAACAAAAGTAAAATTGAAAACTCCAACACATTATCATCTCCTTTAAATTTAACAAATATTTTCACTTTGAACTATGTAGCAGAAATCATCTCTCCAAAAAATTATGTGACAGAGGATTACAATGATCAATTATTGTTAATATGTCATATTTCCATGAGAAAGCATTACACATTTTTGGATGAATATAGTTTCAATCAATGTCAGACAGTGACACTGAGCATCTCAACTTCTTTTATGTGTATTTAGTCACAGACATTTTTCTTTCCTTCTATAACTTCATTTCATGAATAAAATATGTGACAATATTTTTAGAAAGACTTTAACATGCAAACTACTAACATAATAATGCACATAGTATATTGTTATATATGATACAAAGTATAAAGTAGAAGGAAAAGAGTTTTACCTGGTTAATCACATGTGTTATTCCAAAGCAGAGTAGAGCAGATGAACTCACTGCCAATGTGTTGTCTGATAATCATGAGTGAGCTCAGCAGCAATTTCAAGGGGTGGGACTTGTCCTCAGTAATGAATTCCCAAGGGACTATTTCCAATCAGAGAATGCAATTCCAGACAATGAAACCATTCTCCATTTGTTGACCCCAGTTTTGTGTTTACAATCAGCTGTGGGTGTATTCATGCCTCATGGAAGGAATTGCCATATATTTCACTGAGGTTTATGGTATGAAGAATATTTTGAAACAAGGATTACATGAAAACAAGACTGATCTTTAATTGCTTTGAAGTTTTTCCACAATGTATTTTTTGCCTTTTAATTTTTTCCCCGATTGGGATGAAAATCGGAAAAAGGCTTAACTGTAAGCAGTTCAGTCCCCTACCTCATGAAACAGGGAAGTCTTCTGAAGGAAGATGGATAACGGAGCCTCTGCCTTGGAAATTTGGATGATGGGAGTGGAGCTCACTATTTTGGGAGCCACTTTATTGAACGCGGGACAGACGGTGTTACCTATTAGACATCTCTTTATCTTATGGTTATCCCTGCATTGTATTTTCCCCCAAATTGTATATAAACTCGTATATCTCATCTCTGTATTACAAATCAGTTAGTTTTGTTTGATTATCTGTCTAAAACATACATTTTCCAGAAGGATATTTTTCCTCTAAACACTTCTCCTAACTTGTTTGGACACATTCCTCACTCAATTCTGTCCATCTGTGTTAAGTGTATAACTGGAATACAACAACTTTGCACCACTATGAACACCGCTGCCGTAGCATAACAGATCTGCAGCTCATCCTCCTAATCAACCTCCCGTCCTTTTCACCACTGCCCTGTAGTCCCTACTACATAAGGCAGCCTCGCTGATTCTATGAAAACACGAGTCAACTAATGTCATTCTTCCACTCTTCCAGTAAGATCCATCCTAAGAGTGATCTCAAAAATCCCCTAATAACCTAATGCAGAATTATAATTCCCTACCATAGCCGGCCCCTCACCCCAGCTCTCTAACTTTAATTAACACTTACTTTTCCTCCCTCCTCTTACCTCCACACTCTCTGTACTCCAGGTACATGGGACCTCCTGCCATTCCTCAAGGTTGTCCAGTGCATGCCTCCCTCAGAAAGTGGGACCTGCTGATTACTCTCCTGAAATACTCTTTTGGGAGTAAATTTCTCTGTGTTTAGATCTCCATTCAAATGTCAGTTCAACTGTGAGATCTTCACTGACTACCTGTAGAAATAACAGACGTCCTCTTTACCACACTCTCCTTACTTTGCTTTATGTTGTTACAACATTTATTTATTTAAGTGTTTATTTGCTTACTATTTATCTCACCAATAGTATGGAAACTCCATGAGAAAGGATACTTTATTTGCTGATTTACCTTAACGCCCAGGACAGGGCTTTGTGATGAATAGGTATTCAATAAATATTTTTTAAATTAATGACTAATTAAGCTTAAGCTTTAGTTTTCTTCCCCATTTTATAGACTATTCTAACCAACAGAATCTAATGAAATTGAAGTAACAGTCCATCTGAGGGAAAGAAGTATCAGTCCAATATAATGGAAAAGAAGTATCAGTCCAATCTAATGGAAAAGAAGTGTCCGTCTATCTAATGGATAGAAGTATCAGTCTAACTAATGGATAGAAGTATCTATTAATGGAGTAGAAGTATTAGTCTATCTAATGGAAGGAAGTATCAGACTATCTAATGGAGTAGAATTATCAGTCCAATCTAATGGAAAAGAAGTATCAGTCTATTCTAACAATGTCTTATTGACTGCATTAATTAGCATAATTAATTTTAAATCCTAAAGCTTGAAGACCTCTAACATTCACCATGATTAACTGTCTATTACCATCCTAGAGTGCATTGACCCTATGGACAATTTTTTTCTTGCTCTCCATTTATACCCATTCAATTGGCTTAATTACCCTTATTATAAGAAAATATACTCTGCATAAAAACTGGTTTCTTTCCTCAAATAATCTCTTAGAAGTTTCTGCAAGACTCTGAATAACCCTTAGTTTTCTTCCTTAAAATATGTCTTAATGTATATCTCTTTAACTGTAAAATTTTATCCCCCTATTCATTTTGACAAAACTTCTGCATCTCTATTAAAAGCTTAAGACTTTAAACGGAAGTGTCAGTTTAATGAAATAACATGCAGAAAAAAAAGTATTTGCCTCTGTTGAAAGCAAGACTTCACTTTTCAATTCCATATCTAATTAAAGCCAATGCTTATTTCCAGGTGATGGGATGGAAAATGGTTAAACCAATACATAACTCTCATTTTTCTGAGACCTCTATCGTTTTGTTGTTGTTGTTTGTTTTTTACTTTAAGTTCTGGGATACATGAGCAGAACGTGCAGGTTTGTTACATAGGTATACATTTGTCATGGTACTTTGCTGCACCTATCAACCTGTCATCCAGGTTTTCATTCCTGCATGCATTAGGTATTTGTCCTGATACTCTCCCTCCCCTTGTTCCCCACCCACCGACAGGATCCTGTGTGTGATGTTCCCTCCCTGTGTCCATGCGTTCTCATTGTTCAACTCCCACTTATGAGTGAGAACATGCGGTATTTGGTTTTCTGTTCCTGTGTTAGTTTGCTGAGAATGATGGCTTCCAGCTTCATCCATGTCCCCGCAAAGGACATGAACTCATTATTTTTTATGGCTGCATAGTATTCCATGGTGTATATGTGCCACATTTTCTTTATCCAGTCTATCATTGATGGGTTGATTCGAAGTCTTTGCTATTGTAAGTAGTGCTGCAATAAACATACATGTGCATGTGTCTTTATAGTAGAATGATTTATAATCCTTTGGGTATATACCCAGTAATGGGATGGCTGGGTCAAATGGTATTTCTGGTTCTAGGTCCTTGAGGAATCACCACACTGTCTTCCACAATGGTTGAACTAATTTACACTCCCACCAACAGTGTAAAAGCATTCCTATTTATCCACAGCCTCACCAGCATCTATTGTTTCCTAACTTTTTAATACTCTCCATTCTAACTGGCATCAGGTGGTATGCCATGTGGTTTTGATTTGCGTTTCTCTAATGACCAGTGATTATTAGCTTTTTTTCATATATTTGGTGTGGGCGAAGGATTACCTAAGTGCCGAGGCAAGAGACTGAAGGCACAAACTGTTTCAGTATAATAAAGAAAATAGAATAAGAATAGTCATAATACAAATTAGATATAGAGATGATCATGGAAAATTATCAATTTTAATATTACTCTTTGTTGCATTACTAATATAACCTAGCAATAACCGGCGAGTATAGGGGTCAGGTGCTGAAGGGACATTGTGAGAAGTGACCTAGAAGGCAAGAGGTGAGCCCTCTGTCACGCCCATATGAGGGCCGCTTGAGGTCTCCTTGGTCAAGCGGTAATGCCAGTGTCTGGGAAGGCACCTGTTACTTAGCAGACCGTGAAAGGGAGTCTCCTTTCCTTGGAGGGGTCAGGGAACACTCTGCTCCCCAACTTCTTGTGTGAGGCTGGATATTATCCAGGCCTGCCCGCAGTCATCCGGAGGCCTAAACCTCTCCCTGTGGTGCTGTGCTTCAATGGTCATGTTCCTTGTCCACTTTCATGTTCCTCCCGTACTCCTGTTTCCTCTTTGAAGTTCGTAGTAGATAGCGGTAGAAGGAATAATGAAAGTCTTAAAGTCTTTGATCTTTCTTATAAGTGCATAGAAGAAAACGCTGATGTATGCCGTCTTCCCTCTCTGCTTCGGCTATCTAAAAGGGAAGGGCCCCCTGTCCCACGATTACGTGACTTGCTTGACCTTATCAATCACTTGGATGACTCACCCTCCTTACCCTGCCCCCCTTGTCTTGTATGCAATAAATATCAGGGCGCCCAGCCATTCTGGGCTACTACCGGTCTCCGCGTCTTGGTGGTAGTGGTCCCCCGGGCCAAGCTGTTTTCTCTTTATCCCTTTGTCTTGTGTCTTTATTTCTTACAATCTCTCGTCTCCACACACGGGGACAACACCCGCTAAGCCCCGTAGGGCTGGACCCTACAGTTGGCTGCATAAATGTCTTCTTTTGAGAAGTGTCTGTTCATATCCTTCACCCACTTTTTGACCTCTATCGATTTCTAAAAGTTTTAAAGGTTCTGGGAAGTCATAGGTTTAAGATATGGGAAGCGATATGAGAGCTATTATGTTCAAATGCAGGGGATGTTGTATATGTAGGATTGGGATAGTTTAAGAATGGTTGAAATGTTCAGATGTTTTATTAAGCTGACTTTTTAAAAGTAAACATATATATCTGCAAGTACAGTGAAATAACTATAAACACAGTAATTCAATCAAAGAGTGAACAGTACCAAGGTCCTAATTGTTTGAAAATGGTTCCCATTTGTTTTTGGTTGCATATTATTAGGATTCTAGCAAGATCAGTCTGTTTGTCTCCGTGTTTGTATTTATCCATCCATCCATCTATCCATCGATCCATCCATCCATTCATTCGTCACCCATCCATCTGTCCTACCTCCACTCATATTTTATCATACTTATATAAGCAGAATATTTAACAGCAGGTTTAGTTGGGGAAATAACCAAATTGAATGAATGTTGGCCATAATCCTTTACACAGAGTTCTGGAGCTCTTTACTTTGCCAAGCATTCATTTTATTTGTTGGATTATAGGGAAATGAAGTCACAGGCAGGTGCTAAGCTGCACCAGGGTACTCAGACGGCTTGAGGCAGTAGCTAATGACCAATGGACAGTGAAGTGTTTGGATATTTAACATATCTAACAAGAATTATGGCTGGTTAAATTATTTAAACTCCACATTTATAAATTACACACACATAAATAAATTTCAAAGGTGAAATAAAGCTGAAGCAAAAACTGTAGTGTCCGTATAATATTTTGAGCCAGAACAACTCTTGGAGCAAGGTTGCTTATCAACATTAGTGGATAAAAGCTCATATTTAAAAAAAAAATAAAAACTTTTTGGCTGACTTCTTGTCAGATTTTACTTTGTAATTTGGCTGATGAAGGGGATGTAATAGAAGGGAAATAGTCGACTCTACCAATTTCCTATTCCTGTTTTTGTTTGTGTTATTATTTTTATCATTACAATACATATATAGAAGGTAGTTGACTGCTAAGATCAGTACAGAGAATACAGAAGAATAAAGACATCTACCTATCATCTGGAAATAAATTGCTCTTCTCTGCTCCATTAGAACTTTGCTCATACCACTCTTGAAGCCCTTATTACATTGCATGTGATTATTTCTTGTGATGCTTTCCTGTTTTCGCTACTAGACTGTTCTTTTGGGATAAGGATAGGAAATCGTCATTTTTAACAAGGTCCTGGTGTAACTCTTGTGCTTGGTAAATTTGAAATCCCTAAATCAGATAAAGAACTCCTCACAAAAAGAGCTATTTTATTCATTGCTATATCCCCTAACCTTCAAAAATCTTTGGTTTTAGGTATCTCTTAATGATCATTTCTGGAATAAATTTTTATTGTTCTTTGCCAAGTTTAGTGGGAGCTACTGGTGATGATATTTACAGATATAAATATGCGCTCACCCTCAAAAGATCTTCAGTTCTGTTGGGAAACCTGGAAGAAACTGTCAAATGATAAATATGGTCAAATCAGTTTAAGTAGTGAGTAAGTGGTATAGGTAATACAAACTCCAAAATAGGGTCTGGTTCTTTCACAATTAAGAAAGAGAAATGAAGAAGAAAATTCTAACGTACATTATTAAAGCATTTGGTAGTTTTCAGTTGTCCTTGTAGCTGAATTGTTTTATTAAATATCAGTGCAGGATTATTTGTAAATAGACTTGGAATGCCTTTAAGTTGCCTATGAAGGCATAATAGTCATTAGAATAGTTGTGATCTGATAGTGGCAAACAATAATTTATGGTAAATAAATAAATAAATGTGTGTGTGTGTGTGTCTATTAGGTGAAAACCGAAATATGAGTCTTATTTTTATTTTTCTTTTATCTGTGAAACCTTTCAAAACTAAGGTGTGCACTTGTGAAATACTCAATATTGAAAAAGTTACCAGTATTCAGTACCCACTCATCATATTGAGACAAGGTCTAAATTCCATGAGAAAGTGTTGTCAACGTAAACTTCAAACAAATTGAGATAAATCGCACTATCACATAGAAGGAAGTTCTCTGTACTTAAAATTACCTGAGCACTGGGTTCTATTCCATCTCACTTCCCTGTTGTCAAACATGTATTTCCCTTTTTAAAACAAATGAGCAAATAATCCCCATTCAACTTAGTCATCCACTTCTGTGTATAACTCTAATATCTCTATACCAATGTCAATCACTATCCCCATTCTCTTCCTCCGACTTCAGATCACTGTTTTATGATAGTGAAAGTTATCTGTACTTGTCTTCTTTTCTGATGGACTTCTAACCCAACATGGTAAATCTTCTACTTTGCATTCCTGGAAAGCCCTCTCTTTAGGCCACAAATGACCTCTCAATTGCATATCTTCTCTCAGTAGATAATCCATTCTGCATTGTTTTTCCTTATAATGCTAGTTCTTGGAGAGAGTCATGTAATAAAAATAGGATTTTATTGTCAACAATATTGGGAAATACTGCATACTTCATTTCCTAATATTTGAAAACAAAACTTGAGGACAATCACCATATGTTGACATGAAAACTCTGCAGCATGGGAATTCATGTAATAACATGTAACTCAAGTATGTTTCCAAATTGCTCATTTTTTTCCTTTCTATTCACTTTTCTCACTACCATTTGAGGTTTTGGATCTGAGACTCCTTCCTTTACTATTTATCGGCAAGGACTTTACTTCATATTGATTTTTTTTTTTTTTTTAAGATGGAGTCTCGCTCCGTCACCAGGCTGGAGTGCAGTGGCATGATCTCGGCTCACTGCAACCTCCGCTTCCCGGGTTCAAGCAATTCTCCTGCCTCAGCCTCCTGAGTAGCTGGGATTACATGCACGTGCCACCATGCCCAGCTAATTTTTGTATTTTTTACTAGAGACGGGGTTTCACCATGTTGGTCAGGCTGCTCTCGATCTCGTGACCTCGTGATCTGCCCGACTCGGCCTCCCAAAATGCTGGGATTATAGGCATGAGCCACCGCGCCCAGCCTTCATATTGATTTTATAAGTTGTAAGTCACTGCTAAAACTGAATGGGTTAATTTTCCTTCCTAAATCTGTCTTGTCTTCATTCTCTCCTATTCTTTGTCTGCCCCCACCCCATATCCTCTATGATTTACTCTGCTAAATCAGGCACTCAGCAGTGATGTGGTAAAGATTGATTATTATAGCCTCGCCTCTAATTTTTCACCTCTCAAGTCCATTCTCCACTCAGTAGCTGTAGTTAGATCTTTCTTAAAAGCCAATTCCAATTACCTCACCTTTCTGCTTAGCACTTGGGTGAGTTTACTAGGCCTGCTGGAACAAAGTACCACAAAATGGATGGCTTAAATCATATAAATGTATTGTCTCACAGTTCTGGAGGCTGGAAGACTGACATGAAGGTGTCAGCAGGGTTGCTTCTTTCTGAGGTCTCTGAGGGAGAATTGGTTCCAGGCCTCTCTCTCACCTTCTGCTGCTCTGCTGGGAATCTTTCATGTTCCTCGGCTTCAGGTACATCACCAGTATCTCTGCCCCATCTTCACGTGATGCTCTCCCTGTATCCATGCCTGTCTCCAAATTTTCTCTTTTTGTGAAGACACCAGTCAAAGTGGATTAAAGCTTGCCCTAATGATCTCACTTAAACTTGATTACTTCTGTAAAGGCTCTGTCTCCAAATGGAGTCACATTCTGAGGTATAGGGGCTTAGAACTCCAACATATATTTTTATTTGTGGGGACATAATAATTCAACCCAAATCTTTCTACGTATAAAATGTTTGCTACTTCTAACATGAAAATTCCTTTACGTGTCATACGAGATCCTGAAGTTCTCATTCCTGCCTTCACTAACTTCACCTCTTGCCACTCTCAAAATATCTTGCTCCTCTCAAATTAAGGAGGCAGAGAAAAAAGCTCCTGAAGGAATTTGTATGGTATCACCAATAAAACATAAAGGAAGAATACTGATAATCTTACCTAGGTTTCCTAGATAACTCTTATTCTTTCATTAGGGCTCAACATAAGAGTTACCTATTTGGCAAGCAATCTAATTACTCAAGTTTAGTTGGGTAACTTTTGTGCATTTAGCATTCTTCCATCTTTATTTTACACCTCTTCATAGGTCACTGTGAGCATCCTGAGGGCAAACTCCATCATGTTTATTTCTGTGGCACAATCCAGCTCCTGTTTGAACAATGATTAAATGGATGCACCTTCCAGGGAGCATGTGGGAAGTGGATTTATTCCAAGAGGTGAAAAGTGAACACACTAGGGCAGGACATTAGGGTTATTTAATCTGGGAAAGAATACCAGCAATTACGATGGAGGAAAGAGATGTAAACTTGGTCAAAATAGAGGGGAAGGAAATAAGGCAAAGCATCAAATAAAGATAAAATTATGAGGCTCTTTGTCCACTGCCATAAGATAGCTTCAAACAGTAGAAAGAAAATGTAATTTGCAATTAGACAACAGCATTGTTCAAACTCCAGCTCTGGCACTTACTGTCAGATCATGCATGTGTTGCTTAAATTCCAAAGTTTTATTTCTTAAAGCATAAAATGGTGATAATGTCACCTATTTATGAGGGCTTAATAAGTAACCTTACATTCCTCAATTCCACAATAACCTCAATAAAATAGAGACTCAATGTTTTATATTAACATTGTAATGAAATTGTGAAATATCTTAGCCTTGCTCTCAGGAGAAACTTGCCACCCAACAGACAGATGGATCACATGTTAGGTAGAGTTTTCACAACTGGTGCATGTGCAAATTTAGTTTTACCTCCCAGATGTTAGTATCATACCGTTTTAACTTAAATGTGGATTCATAGTTGTAGCTTCAGTTTTCTTTGAAGGAAAATTATAGGACTCAGCACTGCCGTAAGAAGTTAATGTGCATGCAGAAATGTCCTATCATAGTAGCGAGAAAGGCAGCAGAGACAAACAGTAGAAATCATCAAGTGTATAGAGGAGGAAAATACAACTGTTGGGTAGTAGAGAAGTATCACGTTTTGCTATAAAAATACCTGCATTATTTGAATCATGTATATATGATGACAAGGCACTTATGTTTATGAAATTAAATAATTTAACAATTTTAAAGCAGAAATTGCTGAATCGATTAGAGTACATCATCCTATTTTCCAGAAAACAGAAAAGGTTGGTGTAGCAAACTGAGGCATCCTTATTAACTGTCAAACAAACACTTAATATTTCCATATCAAAAGCTTACTAGTCAATTTACTAATGAAAGTTGTTTAATTTTTGGAGGTCCATAAATTAATTAAAGAAAAAGTAAAACCATGAGTTTAGCCATAGGAAACATTGGAAAATCCCTCAGTAGTCCCCCTTTATTTGCTGAGAATATATTCCAAGACTCCCAGCAAATGCCTGAAACCTGGGATAGTACCAAACTCTCTACATACTATGTTTTTTCCTATATATACACCAATGACAAATGTATGATAAATGTACAAATATGGCATAGTACTCTTGTGCTTTGGGACCATTATGAAGTAAAATAGGGATTATTTGAACACAAGCATTGAGATACTGCAAATGTTGATCTAATAATCAAGATGGCAACTAAGTGACTAAAGGACAGGGAGTGTCTACAGTGTTGACATGCTAGAAAAAGATGATTTATGATTCCAGATGATTTGTAGCAGGGCAGGGAGAGATTTCATCATGCTACTCAGAATGGTGTGCAATTTATAACTGATGAATTGTTTATTTCTGGGATTTTCCATTTAGTATTTTTGGACCACGATTGACCATAAGTAACCAAAACCATGGAAAGTGAAACTGTGGATAAGCAGGGAGCACTGTATGCCCAAGAGGTCAAGATCAAGAGCAAAGCCTATCAATAGAGAAAAATGCAATTTTGCAACCAGGTGTAGCTGCTAAAGAATGAAAGCGATTTGGACAAATCTAGTCTCTCGATATGGAGAAGGCTTGTATGCAAACATTCATTCTGATACTAAAGAATACTTTGAATTAGTAAGATGGATGAAATGCAATTATACGCTATTTTTGATTCTTTAAAACTGGATATATAATATGCTTCTTTTTCTCTTTTAAAGAGCTTATTAAAAATGTATTTTACACTTACTGAATTTGTGTTCCAATTGCAACAATGTGTACTTTTTTTTTTTTTTTTTTTTTGAGACGGAGTCTTGCCTTGTGTCCCAGGCTGGAGTGCCGTGGCGTGATCTCGGCTCACTGCAACCTCTGCCTCCCGGGTTCAAAGGATTTTCCTGCCTCAGCCTCCCAAGTAGCTGGGATTGCAGGCGCCCGCCACCATGCCAAGCTAATTTTTGTAGTTTTAGTAGAGACAGGGTTTCACCATGTTGACCAGGCTGGTCTCATGCTCCTGACCTCGTGATCCACCTGCCTCGGCCTCCCAAAGTACCGGGATTACAGGCGTGAGCCACCACGACCGGCCAATAAATATTTTAAAGAATGTTTTACTTTGGGAGGCCGAGGCGGGTGGATCATGAGGTCAAGAGATCGAGACCATCCTGGCTAACAAGGTGAAACCCCGTCTCTACTAAAAATACAAAAAATTAGCCGGGCGCGGTGGCAGGCGCCTGTAGTCCCAGCTACTCGGGAGGCTGAGGCAGGAGAATGGCGTGAACCCGGGAAGCGGAGCTTGCAGTGAGCCGAGATTGCGCCACTGCAGTCCGCAGTCCGGCCTGGGCGACAGAGCGAGACTCCGTCTCAAAAAAAAAAAATAAAAAAAAAAAAAAAAAAAAAAAAAAAAAGAATGTTTTACTTGCCTCATGATAAGGACTCAATATTGGAATATTTGGGGCTTTGAAGGTCAAATCTTGAATACCTATAAAGCACTCTTAAAACACGCTTAGCTAGAAGTTGACTAGTTTTCTTGTCCATTTTACTGCCCAGCCTACACTGTGGTTGCTGAGTCTTCAGTCCTTTCTGAGTTACAAATGAAGAAACTAGCTGGGGTGCAGAGAAATGACACTTAAAGTGAGAACAGCTCCTTTATAAACAATAGATCTAGAAGGACCTTCGAACATGAACAAAACACCACCAATAACACAAGTTTTATAAATAGATGTATGCGTCTTTTAAAAATCACCTTTGTGAGGACAACACATTTGTTTTCTAAGAAAAGGATTAAATATAAATATGTAATAATATAAAAATGTAAATATATAAAAAGTCTGTTGGGAAACTTCCTATGCTGAGATCTAAAATGTTACTTATAAGGTGTACAGATATTTCATTGAAGAAGTAAAGTTTTAAAAACTTACTTGCTCTTTTTTTTTTTTTTTACTATAAATTTAGAAGTTAAGGAGATGACATTCTAAAGACTTTTAGAATTACTGACAAAGAACTATGTCCCATATTTTTGTTTTGGAAAGTATTTTCAAATAACCTTTGAAGTGGTGTTTATAAGATCACTATATTCCAGGCTTTGGAAATCATTTTCTCAGATCAAATACAAGCTTAAGATAACATTTAACTGTTCTCAGTATGGGAATAAATTTGTTCATTTCTGACTTCTGTGTTGTGCTTTTATTAAATTACTGTCTAACTGGTTTCCATCCACTTTCCAGATTACCTTAATAGAAAATAACATTACTGCCCCAGGTCATTTTTCCTCATATAAATGGATTAGATATATATTTTTTCTCATTGCTCCTTTAGGGAGATTTAATCTGGCAGCAGTATTTTCTGTGCTTTACCCTGGTTAAGCAGCGTGATATCCATTACCATTAGTGGACAAGGTATAGTTAGATGTTAATGAAATTATGTTATTCCATTTCGGAGGTGGATTAAAATAATCCTTTTTCCTTGAAAATGGAAAACCTTTCTGCATGGTTAGCAGCTGTCATTCTAATTTATGATGCAATATGCAGAGTGGTAGGAAAGAAAAGAGTACTTCAGAAACAAAACAGAGTCCCAGAAGAAACCCCTGTCATTTATACACCTAGAAAAAGGCTCACTTTATGTTTGGCAAATGAACATATTCTGGAAGTCTGAAGTCAAGCCCTTTTCTCTGAGCACTATGAAATTAGAAATGGCAATCAGCATTTCGTGTCGTCTTTATTCTAAAGAGCTCCAAATTCATAAACATGTTACTGCGTCTTTGGCTTTTATTAATGAGACAGAACATCAGAGCATTTGCAAATGGTGCTGGGTTTGCTGGAAGCCCTCTATGCCGAAAGGTTGGAATAAAGCCTATTATTCTAGTGGTCTTCTGTGCCCCTTCCAGACTAAGCTGCAGGATTAATGACTTAAAAAAATATTAGATTTAAAGAGTTAACTGCATGTTAAAAGTATTTTTTCTTACCTCAGTTTCTATTCTCTGTGTGTTAAAATTCCTCTCTCTTTACTCACTGTCTACTCATCATTTAATTCTTAATGCTTGTGTGGCCTCCCCAGGTAGAGGGAGCAAAGATGGCTATAGAAGAGAGGGGACAAATGGCAATAGAATGTAGCCATTGTGTGTGAAAACAACCTAAACTCAATTTATCGAGGTCCTGGAGGGACCTATTTGGAAAGCCCCAAGCGAGCAGAATGAATGCAAAATTTTGCTTTTAATCCTAGTATTCTAAAATGGCACAGGAAAATCTTGTTTAATTTTACAGTTTTTTTGTTTGAGGCATTGAAAGAATAATGAAAATTAAACCAATACAAAAAGGACATTTTGTTTAAAATATTGAATGAGTAATGAAAAATAAACCTATAAAATGTGCATTGTGTAACTCTAAATATGCTAGTGTATGTATTTTCTGATTTTATCTTTTAAAGAGTCCTAGGCGTATATGGTGTCTGTACATTTAAGATAATCCGGTATTACAATTTTTTAACCTATTTACTAGAAAACTGGAGCTGAAAAAAATTAAACAAGCAGCTTTAAAAGCTGGTTTTTTAACCCTCTGTGCATACACATTCTTAGCATGGTTTCTTTCATCCTCACACCCATAATAAGACTGGAGCATCTCAAAAAATCACATCTGCATTAGGAAAGCTAAAGGCTTTCTAAAAGCTCCATCCAGAAGACCTGGCTTAGCTCCAACCACTTGTGAAAGGGGAAAGAAGTTGCTAGAATTGGTTTACACTTTTCATGAGTCATCCCCTGGAGGAAGGGTACTGTTCATTTCTATCTCCAAGAATAAAGAATCTCTGCCACAGGTGTTGTGAGCAGGGAAGGAGGGAGGCTATTGTCAAATCAGCAATAGCCAGTGTCGAGGTCTGTCACACTAGATAGGAGTCCTTGCTTAGGATTCTTTCTGCTAAGTGGCGGATTTGTATAGGACTCCTTGCTTAGGATTCTTTCTGCTCAGAGGCAGACTTGTTTTTTTTCTTGCAGTAGTTTAATGCATAATCCTCCCAGAAAACCATAGCTTCCAGCTCCTGAAACAACGATAATAATGGTATTTTTCTTTTCCTCTCGTTTGGAATAGGATCAGTGCATTCACAACAAGTACTTAAATTATGTGTAAAAAAAAGATATAATATGTCATTTATAGTAGAAATCTATCAAATAGGTGGCAAACCAGGCAGTGAGTTTCTGCGGAAAATGCAGCTGCTTTAGAAGCAGTATTTAAATTTGAGTTCTGCCATTAAGTAGCTTTGTTAACTTGGGGGATTTAATCATCCTTTTAGAGACTCCGTTTACGTAAATAAAATAGGATTGAACTCGCAGAATGCTGTGAACATTTAATGAGGTTATGTATAGAAAGTACTTATCACAATTTTTGGCACATACCAACAGCCTAATAAATGGTAGCAAGTATCATAATACAGGCCCTAATATATCCACTTTATTCTAACAAAAACCTATGTTCTTACATGTTTCTAAGAGTGAAAGTGTTACACCTAGGAAATGCATGGATTTTTACAGATGAATCATCACTTACATGAGGTTAACAATCAGGTATATTACTAGGCTAACTGTACCCTGTACTTGTTTGCTACCAAAAGTACTATTTCAAAGCAACTGTCACATGCTCCTTCTTTGCAGGTTTACTTACAAAGTATCACTGGATTAAGTGCTACAGAGATTTATCCTGCTCTGTAAAACAGAGCACAAATTTGGTAGAAAATCATAGCATGTGGTCATGACATTGATAGAAAAGTAAACAGTTTCATTTTGAGTACTCTGGGATGTAACCTGCACCCTCATTTCACCCGGGACTGGAGAAAAGCTCAGGTGTTCCATGTTTACATCAGTAGCTTACTGGACTAAATTACCTTTTTTTTTTTTTTTTTTTTTTTCACAAATATCTTTTTTCTTATTTTTTCTTATTTTCTGTTTTCCTTTTAAAATTTATTTATTTATTTTTAATCATACTTCAAGTTCTAGGGTACATGTGCACAGCGTGCAGGTTTGTTACATAGGTATACATGTGCCACGCTGGCTTCCTGCACCCATCAACTCATCATTTACATTAGGTATTTCTCCTAACGCTATCCCTCCCCCAGTCCCCCATCTCCTGACAGGCTTCCATGGGTGATGTTCCCCATATTTTTCCCAGATCCTGAAATTGTCTTTTTTTCCAATTAGATAAAATTCTAATTACGGGTTGGACATGAGATAACTGTATACATTTTGAAGTGTTTACTTAAAGGTGAAGTTAATTTTTATCTAGCTGTTAAGAAGAAAGTTAACAGTTAATTAGACCAGGTATTTTAAAGTTGATTTTTTACAGTTTTCCTTCACTTTTACAGTAATTTACAGGAAAAAGAGGAACTAACAAATTTTTCATCTAGTGCCTTAAGATAATAAATTATTGAAGACTTAAAAGCATTTTAAGTACCACTTAAAATAATGAAATTGGCTCTTTTTACCACTGTGTTGAACCATAATTTAATTCACTCTATTGATGACTAGTGGGAATGTTAATGCAAATAACTAATTTATTCTCCTAGACAGTCAAACACACTACAAAATACGTCCAACGCCAAACACAGCTTCCTCTGACAAAATGTATATTCATAGCTAAGTGTCTAACTTGAGTAGAGTTCACCAGAAGAATAAAAATTAAAAAGCCAAAATAATATGAAATAAATAATAGAGAACACATCTCCACTATTAAAAGTACTGCATAGAGATATAAAAGCAATCACTAATGAAAACAAATTTTAGAGAATTAAGCTACAAGACGCCTGTTGAAAAGGAGTGCCGGGCCGGGCGCGGTGTCTCACGCCTGTAATCCCAGCACTGTGGGAGGCCAAGGCGGGTGGATCACGAGATCAGGAGATCGAGACCATCCTAGCCAACACGGTGAAACCCTGTGTCTACTAAAAATACCAAAAAAAAAAAAATTAGCTGTGCGTGGCGGCGGGCGCCTGTAGTCCCAGCTATTCGGGAGGCTGAGGCAGGAGAATGGCGTGAACCCCAGAGGCGGAGCTTGCAATGAGCCGAGATCGCGCCACTGCACTCCAGCCTGGGAGATAGAGTGAGACTACATCTCAAAAAAAAAAAAAAAAAGAAAGAAGAAAAAAAAAAAAGAAAAGAAAAGGAGTGCCACTGGATAAGCTGGACAAGGCAACAGATATTATAAACAACTCCCAAATCTCAGTAGATTAATAATTTAAAAAATATACTTTTTGCTCATATCACAGTCTAGAGTGAGTTAGGTAGTGCTCTTCCAACCAACGACACAGAATTCCAGGACATTTCCCTCTTTTGAGCCTGCCATCTTGTAGTTTCAAGATAAACCCTGCCTCACCAAGTTTCTAAAAGCAGAAAGTGAGCAAGGAACCTCACACACTTGGTACATAACTCCTTCAGCCAAGAGGTGGATGTGTATCACTTACACTCATATTCCACTGGCAAGAAATAGACCTATGGTCCCGACTTGCAAGTAAAGGAGAGGGTATTCGGATATGTAGTCCCCAGTTGCTCAAGGCTGAAATGATTATATACTGTGGAAGAGAAACTTGAAACTTTAGTGGTAAACTGCCTCTGCCACCCTAATCAGCCCTCTAAGCATAGTTCTAAACTGTTAGAATGACAGCTGAGAAGGAAGAATGGGAAGGTCAGCATATAGCAGGCAGTAGCAAAGTAGAGAAAATGTCGTCTACGTATGACCTGGAGTCTGGCGATGGTTTTTAAGGATGATTTCTCAGAAAAATACATATAATTATTCTACTTTCTGTTTCAGCTTAATATAATTGAGAGGTTGGCAACTTTTTAAATTAATGTGGGACATTATCTGTATTGACCACAGAGAATCCAGGTCTGCAAGAAGGCACTGTGACTGACTTAATCAGTAGAAGCTGAGTAGAACACATTTTAGACAAATACATGAGGTAAACTTTATCAAATCAATACTGACAGTCAGAAAGAAGGAAATGATGGGTTTCTCCTTTCTGTCTTTTAGTAATAGTTAAACATTTCTCTTATCCATCAGTGGAAGGTATCTTTGTTGTTCTTCAGCTAATCAGTTTGAAGAGGAAGTAAACAAGAAAGGACAGTACATAGTGGGAGATTTTTATTTCTGCAAATGTTAAGAACTGGTAAAGAGAAAAATCCCTCCCAATGTGAGGAAAAACAACATATATGATAAATAAAATAAAAATTTAAAAAGTTAAATGCAAAGCCGATTTCACACAAAAAAAGTAAGACAAATCTCTAAGAGCTATAAAGCGGGTAATGTTTATAAGGCTAAAGGAGGGGGTGCCCTAGAGAAAAGAAATGGAACAGGACTTCTAAATACATACAGAAAACTGAAATAAGAAAACCCAACCAACAGCAAATATGCCAGGAAAGATAAAAGAGATCAGAGAAAAAACCTAGGCCAGAAGTAATGGTAGTATAAATAAATCCAAAAATATCAACAATCTTCATAAATATAAATGGACTAAATTTGTTGGTTATGAGATAGAGATCGTTGAGTTGACTACAAAGGTCCATTACAAGCTCAAGATACATCTAGAACTCAAGGAAGACCGGTTAACAGTAAAAGGATAGTAATAAACCAAGAAAGTACTTAGAAATGAAAACTGGGATGACTGTGTTAGTGCACAAAATGGACTTGAGTACAAAAAAATGGATATTAAAAGGGTTACCGAATAAGGATAAACGGTTTAACCTCCACAAGAAGAAGTAACAATTCTGAACTAGAATATATCTATCATATAACAAATGTTTATGAGCAAAAATCACTGGAACTCTAAGGACAAACTGAAAAATTTCCTCTTTATGAGAGCAGTTTTAAAATCCATCACTCAGTAGTCAATAGACTACAGGTAAAAACTCATAAAGAAGATTTGAACAGCATAATTAATAAGTTTATCTTATCTAGGAAAGAAGGGCACAACCTCTTAAGCAATTTACCAGTAAAATATAATGATGTAACTGTATTTATTTATATAATATTGTTATTAAATAATGATAAAAACGGCACATTAAATATAGTAATACCTAGAAAAATACATTTCCATAAAGTGCAAATATTAAAAAGGAAGTCTGAAAAGTAATGATTTACTTTAAATTAAAATTTTAAGCCAACAAGTTATGAGAAGAAACAAAATAGAACTGAAGACCACAGAGAAAAAGATAGTAGGAAAAAATAAGTGTGAAATATAATAAGAAAAAATAAGTGTGAAATTAATGAAATAAGATACAAAGTTACATATATGTATATGTATATTATATATACATATTATATATAATATAGATATATATATCTTTATTATATATACATAGTATATATGATATAGATTATTATATATTATATATAATTATATATAGTATATAATATTTATAATATATAATATATAATATATTATATAATATATTATATATAATAATATATAATATAATATATAATATATAATATTATATATAATATAGATACATATAATATGTATATATATAATATAGATATATATCTATATTATATATAACATGTATATATAGATATATATCTATATTATATATAATATGTATATATAATATATAATATATATATATATATATCTTGACCAACAGATCTTAGCAAACTAAACTAAAATAAGAAACTTTCTTAACTTCTTAACCTAAGGCCTATTTAGTAAAACCTAATGCAAATATCATGCTTGATGATGAAATATTAAAATCACTTCATTTGAAATCATTTCAACCCAGGATGTCTGCTACTATTGCTCCCATGTAGATTTTATTGAGGATCTTTGTAAGTAAAATACCAAAACAGGATATAAGAATAGATCATGGAAAAGAAGAAATGAACTTATCTGTCCACAGTATTTGTCAGAGAATCTGTAGACATATTACTAGAAATAAAAAGTTCATCAGATTTGTACAAAATCTAAAAATACACTTTGGGAGGCTGAGGTGGGCAGATCACTTGAGGTCAGGTGTTCGAGACCAGCCTGCCTAACGAAACCCCTTTTCTACTGAAAATACAAAAAAATTAGCTGGGCATGGTGGCAGGCGCCTGTAATCCCAGCTACTCAGGAGGCTGAGGCGGGAGAATTGCTTGAACCCGGCAGGTGGGGGTTGCAGTGAGCCGAGATCGCACCACTGCACCCTAGCCAGGGCTACAAGAGCAAAATTCCATCTGAAAAGAAAAAAAAAAATCTAAAAATAATTTAATTTACTATGCCCCAGTAAAAATATTTTGAAAGTATAAACTTCAAAATATACTATTCACAAGAGCAACAAAAATATAAAGTACCTAGGAATAAATCATAAGGTGCAGAGAAAGTATTTGAAAAAAAAGTATATTTTACTAAAAGATATTACAGAAAATTAATTTATAAAAACTTAAAATTAACAGACATGTTTTATGTTCATGCAAAAGAAATATCAATAAAATAATACTGTCAATTTTTAAAATCAAATCTATTCATAAACATAATACAATTTTAATAAAAATCTTGTTAGGGTTTAATCAGCATCTGACAAAAGTCTAAAAATGCACAGAAAAGATCACTAAAGAAGTGAGAAAATTTTGAATAAGAAAAGTCAGGTGGGTGTGCTCATCGTACCAAGTGTTAAGACTTACAAAGCTTTATTTTAAGAAAACGGTATGGAAAAAGAGACAGAAAAATAGAACAACAGTAAAGAAATGAGTCCAAGAATTGACTCACAGACTTACAGAAAGTTAATAAATGACAATGTTGTCTTTTCAGATAAGAAAAGAAAAAAGCATAAAAAAAGTAAAACTTTTAAGTTATTCAGAAAAAAAAGGAGTATTAAGACAGTATTTAAATATTGCAGATAAGAGGAGGAATTTCTTAAACAAGAGAAATAAAGAACAAAGTCTAAAGAAAATGATTAACAAATTTGACTGTGTCCTAACTCCAAATGCCTGTGCAGCAAAAGACTTTAAATGTAAACAAAACAAAAACCCAGGATAGTCTACGGAACAATATTTGGAATGTGAAAAATTGACAAAGTCAGTATTCCAAATAGAGGTTTGAAACTATAAATCAAAAAGAAAAAGAAAAGTCAGTAGAAAAATGGAAAAATATATAAAAAGGCAATTCACAGAATAGGAAATACAAATGGCCAATAAACATATGAAAAAATGTGCAACCTCTCTAGAAGACAGTTAAATGAAAATTAAAGTCCCAGATACAACGTTTCAGTCCTAAAATAGAGAAAAATGTAAACCGTCCAACACTCACAAATGCAGGTGAGGACGTGGAGCAGCAAACAGGACTTCTTGTCACTGTTAAGGAAATATAAATTGTTTTAATCATACTGGAAAACAGTTTGTTAAAATCTGGCATGTATGAGTTGTGTATAATTTTTGTCCCAGCAATTCCAATCCGAAACATATATTATACAGATTAAGAAGGCATGTACAAGAATGATTATGATAGCATTGTGTGTTATAGCAAATAACTGGAAAATGAAATGTTTTCAATAGGAGAATGAGTGGATAAACTGGGGCATATACACCAAAAGTAATACAGATACGAATAAAAAATGAGTCATCAAGCATTGGTATATAGTCTTGGATGAATCTCACAAATCTTATGATTGTCACAAATATTATGAAAAGACCAGCAAATTGTCCATAAATTTTCCAGAATGCCATAATTTAGGGAACATTTAATAGCATGAAAGAGTGTACTACATAAACTTTAAGATACAAACACATGTAGTAAAGGACAATGAAATGCATAGGAATGAGAAAACTAAACTCGTTGTAGGGCAACCCTGATGGAAATTGGGGCATACACTTAAGAAACCTACAAGAGAGGTTTCAACCACATTTGTGACTTTGGGTGCTGAATACGCAATTGTTTATAATACTATTATTTATGCCTTTTTGTATGTCAAAACTACTTCATAGCTTTTATTCTCAGGAAGATACAGACAGTGAAATGAGCGTAGAAAAGTCTAATCTGATGTTTTTGTGTATTTATTTATTTATTTATTTATTGAGCAGTAACCGAGTCCTGGGGAGAGCAACTAATTCAATCAGTGCTATCTAGTTAATGACAGAATTAGGATGAAAAACCATGGATCTGACTCAAACTCCACTGATTTAATATTTCCTATTGCTAAGGAACGTTAAAGGATAAGATCGTTTAGCCCCTTTTGCAGTTAGGAAAATTGATTCTGAAGGGAGTTTAATTGACTGCTTACAATTAAAGCAGAATCAGAATATAGATCAGCTTTTTTTTTTTTTTATCCTGACATAGTCAATAAAAAGATTTGTCAGTAAAAGTGGCTCAAATGGCTGTGATTTTATAAACTTGGGTAAAGGCAAGCATGATATATTCAAGTTCCCAGAAGGAAGTTGCCTGATTGAAAATGGTCACTGGCTGATTCTGATATATTGTTTCCCTTTGCCAGTGGTAGAAAGGATTAGGGGGAAATCTTTTTACCCATGGAAGTAAACAGTTCACGTTCAGTTCAGAAGAGCTGTACAAATATTTTTGTTGTTCATGTGTTACGTACTGGGCATGTATGAATTAGATGACACATATTAGTGAAAACTGTGTCTGTGTTTGCACACACAAATTTTTTTTTAAGTTGATGACAGAAAAGGGCATTAGCTGCAAATATGCAACTTTATGGGACTTAAATATGTTGGCGGGGGGTGTTGGCAAACTGTTTAAGTAAAATCCACCTGTCGAGGCAGAGGTCAAAATTCCAAAGAGGGGACAGTGCGACCCCCAGATAAATGAGAGAATGGTCTCCTGTTATGGATTTGTACCTATCAGGTGGTGTCCATAGTACACCACCTATCATTTTATGTATTAGACAATATCCCGCTGAGAGAATGAAACCTTCAGGAGCAGAAAAATTTCACCAAGATTCTTTTCAGTTAATCACTGAGACAAAATCCAGCTTCTTTCTCATCTCCTTACAAATCCATTAATTCTAAGATTTGTCTTGATATCTGAGGGGTCTCCTTTCTTCCCCCATGTCAGCTGAGCTAATTTACCTTCTTTTGTTTTGGTAACTAGAAATGGAGATAGATGGGTAATAAACACACCTGTTTAGGTGTTCTAAGAAGCTCCCAGGCAAATTTATACGTATAGAGGAAATTATATAGAAATCTTTAGAATTAAAAAAAATTCAAACCCAACAAAATTAGTAAATCTAGCAGGACTTCTGGAATCAACAGAACAAATATAGGAACAACCTAACCGATTTGCCCTCAGGTTCTTACTACTACATGGAGAAAATAGACTATGAGAGGTTTCAACCATATTTTGTAACATGGAGTGTTGCACACAAAATTGTTAATAATGTTATTATTTATGCATTTTTGTACGTTAAAACTATTCATAGCTTTTTATCTCAAAAAGATACAAATAATGAAATGAACCATAGAAATATGTCAGAACTATTTTATAGCTTTTTTCCTCAAAAAGACGCAGGTAGTAAACCATACAAAAGTCTAATCTGATGTTTTTATTTATATTCCTGAGTAGTAACTCAGCAGTAACCGAGCCATGGAGGGAGAAAATAACTTAATCAATGCGTTCTAACTAGTTAACGACACAATTAATACTAAAAATCCACATACCTGGCTTAGTGTGATAGAGAAAAGTATAGAGTGGTGATATACAAAGACCATGTAAGCAGTAGTAGTTGTGGAATCTCCAATAAAAATATGAGTGCAGCTCCACTCAAGGGAGAGTGTCCTGAAACTTTCAGCGGGAACACTGACGATTCTTATGGAACAGGGTGGTATGAATATAAAGAGGAGAGTGGGTAGATGTTCCCTTACTCCACAAGAAGCTTCCTCTTGCCTGGGAACCTGTCAGGGGTCTGTCTAGGACCTTATGGTAGCGTTGATGAAAGTTGTGGGACAGGAACCAAGAACATCCTGTAGGAAGGACACTTTTCATTGATCCCTTAATTTGACAGACACTTAAGAAAAGAGAGAATATCAAGGCCCCAGTTAGTTGCAGCCTCTGAGCCCCTGAGTCCCACCCAGGAAGGAGAGGAAACCATTATTTGTAAAGCAATCTGCTCTATCCATTCCTGACTTACAGCAATTATTCTCTAAGCCACTCTAAAAAGGACAGCCTTTGGATTAAAAAAAAAAAAAAAAAAAAAAAAAAGACAAAGTCCAGTCAAAGCCAGGGAATAAGTTAACCAAAAATAAACTGGAAAAACATTTAATGATTATATTAAGAGGCAGAAGTCCAGATGCACACAGCGGGGCCCCAGCTAAAGTTACAGATGGTTTTATTCAAAACATCAACCAAAAAAACTAACTCTTTAGGCCTACCACTAACATGCAGACTCACTCCAGGGGCCTTGGGATTCTGTAATCAAACCTGACTAATTGTCACATCACTATAGTGTCAACAAAAGAGGGAAATTTAATAAGGCATGGCTCAAAGATACTGATACCCATCTCTGACTTAAAATGAATTACAAGAACTTGCTAATATTCTCAACTAACTGCTAAATGATATTGCCTTACTATACTTACAGATTCTTAAGACTGGGTGTGATGTCCTATCTAGATGATGATAATCTAAACACAGTCAACAATGTTAATGCTTTAATATTACTATTCAAAATCACCTTACATACATTCCTTCCAAAAATTAATAAAACATTTTAAGTATTCAAAAAATGATATAACAGAAATCTGCTTTACCTTTCATTGAGATTAAACAGATGCCAACATGTACTATTTGCAATAGACATCTTTGCATTTTTAAAGAAATATTTTTAAAAATACATTTTTTCCACCTTTTTCCCAAGTAAACATTGTTTGGAAGTTAGTGTTTATCATTCCCACATTTGCTTCATTGATACATGTGCTATAACAATCAATTTTTGAATTTCTCGTAATGGGTATATACATTTCTATTTTGTATATCATAGATATATGTTTTGAGATGCATACAGATTCAAATTTTTCTCATATTCTGGTGAATTATTTATTTCACTATAATGTAGTTACTATTTTTGATAATACCTTTTATTATTTTCATCTTTGATAATTATTATAATATTCTTGATTTATTCTTTTCCTGATCTTTTTTCTTTTACATAGAAGAACTATTATAAAAGCCTCAATGGAAATATATATAATGGTTTTAATAAGATGAAGTATATAGGGGTTATTGGTACTATATCAAAGGACCTTAAATCTGTAATATGAATTTCACTGGCTTCCAAGAATGACATTAGTCTAGAAGCTTGCCTGATGGTATATTAGTAAGACTCAAACAATTACAGATAATGGTCATTAATTCCTGGAAGAGATGTGGCGTGATATGTCTCATGACTGCTATGTCTTAGCTCTGACAAGTTGCTTAACTCTGACAAGCAGTAACATAAGCAAGAAATATACTTACTGCTTTCTCAACTTAAGAAAGCAGTAAGCATATTTCTCTACTCTAGCCTGGGATATTCTTAATTCTGTTTTTATTTTCCTAGTGTATTTATTTGCTTTTTTGTTAGACAGGATGGATGATCTCTTAGGGACCACTGTCACTGTAAAATAATTTACAGTGAGTGGGATTGCCATCTGGGAGAATAGTAACTATTACCAGCTACCATGAAGTACCTCCCAGACCCTGGATATATTCCCCGCTGGCTGTGTAAGTTCTGTGTTATTGGGCAAGTAGAATGCAAACAGTATCCAGTAAGACATTGTAGCAGAGGTAAACACCCCCTACTCAGATATCACTATAATGACTAATACTCTCCATATCTGTTTTCTGACAACTAAGTAGGAGGTAACTTGAGCCTTGATGTGACAAGTGTCGTCCCCGGACTAACAGCATCAGCTTTGCAGCCCCAGCTCTACTAAATCAAAACCTGTATTTTAACAAGATCCCCATTTATAGTTTGAGAATTGACGGCCTGGCACAGTGGCTCATGCCTGTAATCCCAGCATTTTAGGAGGCCGAGGCGGGCAGATCATGAGGTCAGGAGTACATAGTGAAACTATGTCTCTATTAAAAATACAAAAAATTAGCCAGGCATGGTGGCAGGCGCCTGTAATCCCAGCTACTTGGGAGGCTGAGGCAAGGAGAATCACTTTAACCTGGGAGGCAGAGGTTGCAGTGAGCCGAGATTGTGTGACTGCAGTCCAGCCTGGGTGACAGTGAGAGACTCCTTCTCAAAAAAAAAAAAAAAAAAAAAAAAAGAGAGAATTGATGATCTAGAGGGAATACGTGTGACATGTGGATGGAATATGGGGTATGCTAGAGGAGACACACTGGATAAGAGAAATAACACGTTTAAAGACAGGGAAACATACATAAGCATGAACTATTAGGAAAATTTTAGCTGGAAGGCTCTTTTTTCTTTACACATCCTAATAAGTGCCTGAGTGAGTGGTAGCAGTAGCAGCATTAACGATAGGAATAGTGGCAGCAGGAGTCATCATAGTAAGAGAAGCTAGAGACATGGGCAAGAATTCAGTTATGAAGAGTTGAAGGTGATTGTTAAAGTTCTGATGGAATTTAACGGGAGAGTGATGTAATGGAATGTATTTGCAAAGATCATTGTAGCAGCAGAATTCTGATAAGATGGAGGAAAGAAAAGCCAGAGTGAAGCAGACCATTAGCAGATAATTGTCATAATCTTGATACTAAATGGAGACCAGAATTAAGGTAGTTACTGTGGAGATTTAAAGAAAGGGTGATTATTCAGAAGAGAGAATTCACAGGCTGGGTGACCCATTGGAGGAAGGAGATGAGGAAGATGGAGTCATCAAGAATGACCCTAAGTTCTCACTAGCTGAGGTTGGGTCTCCCAGGAAGCAGACACAGCGGCAGAGATTTTTGTGCAGGGAGTTTATGGAGGAGAACTTAGGAATAACACCTGTAAGAGGGTGAGGGAAGAAGTGGAATTGGGCAAAGGGAGATGTGGAAGTGTGATGTAGTGGCACTGGAGGCTACATGGAGCTCTGGAGTTGCAATGGCCCATCACAGTGGCCCCAAGTAGAGACAATGAGGGTGAGCCTTTGTTCTCCATATTTAGTAATCACTGGATGTGGGCTACCCCAGGAAGGGGATACAAGCTTGGGTAAAAGAGATTCCTTTAGCTGAGGGCATTTCCTGGGGAAGTACACATTAATGAGTTGTCAGCATTCCTGTAGCAACTGGGGAAATGCAGGCCTCAGTCTTAGGAGTGAGATTAAGCTGGCACAGCCCACAACACAGTGTTCTTGTCTTGCATGTTCAGGCTGGAGATTTTAACATGCATTAAAATGAAAGAGTTCAGAAGAAGAGACAGATGTGTTAATAAATGGACATGTTTGATTTGATCAACATACTAGAGTTGATAATAAATTTATTAGATATAGGGGCCTTGAATTAACAGAGAGATCTGGAATTATAGATTTAGGAAGCTTCAGCCTGTAAATGGCAGTTGAAGCCATACTTATTGCTGAAATTGCATACAGTCAGAACACTGAATACAGAAACTTGAAGAACAACATCATTTCAGTCAGGAGTACCAAAAAGAGCTTTTAAGAAAACGGAAGCAGAAAATGGCATAGAAGAAGCTGAACCTAAAATATTCAGTGAGTAATAGTCTCCTGTGCTTTGAAGGGCACCAGCAGTGTAAGGAAGGCTATTTGTAAGGGATTTGGCATTGTGCCTGTCAGTGACTTCAGTGAGTGACAGCAGGGTCAGTGGAGTGACAGGTAGTGAGGGCTTGTAGATAAACCAGGTACGTTACTTTTTCAATAAATAAATTGCTCATATTGATTGCTAAAACTAAGAAAGCAGTAATAATTGGGGAGCTAAGGAAGAGATCATTGGAGGAGAGGTGAATGTGTCATTTACGGTCCTGGCAGGGAGGAGATGGCATACTCAAATTGAATAATTAGAGGGAAGTTCAGTAAAAGACAACTTTTAAAGGTATAAATTAGGTGAAAGGTAGGCCATGCAAGGACCCTGTATTAGTCCATTCTCACACTGCTATAAGGACATACCTGAGACTGGGTAATTTATAAAGGAAAGAGGTTTAATTGACTCAAAGTTCCACATGGCTAGGGAGGCCTCACAGTCATGGCAGAAGGCAAATGAGAAGCAAAGACATGTCTTATATGGCGGCAGGCAAGAGAGTGTATACAGGGGAATTCCCCTTTATAAAACCACCAGCTCTCATGAGACTTATTCACCATCATGAGAACAGCACAGGAAAGACCCACCCCCATGATTCAGTTACTTCCCAGAGGGTCACCCCTATGACACATGGGAATTACAGGAGCTACATTTCAAGGTGAGAGTTGGGTGGAGACACAGCCAAACCATATCAGACCCCAAGGCTGTTAAGATTATGGTCATGAGAGAGAGAGAGAGAGATAGAGAAATGGAGGAAGGGGGAGGGAAAGAGGAGGAGAAAGAGATAGAGATTTACTGATTTGTGTTAAGAGGGTGGCCTGACATTAGCTATGACCCCTTTGGTTGAAAGATTTAGTCAATCTATATCCTCCAGGATTCTCCAGATGATCCTCTAGGAAGAGAAAAGGGACATTAAATACCTGATCCCACACTCCTTCCTTCCTTTATTCTTTTTTTGGTATTCTCCATTCAAACTAAGTTGAAGTCAGAAGGCAAAGGATCCTTTGATGTAGTCCATTCAGAGCAGAAGGAGAAGAATGCAGAGTGGATCTGCAGGGACAAATAGAAGATGCAGCGCAATGGAGATACTGTTTAATGCCGCAGGGGACCTGGGCTCTTTTCGTCTCTCCTATGTAAAGAGAATTTCCTCCATCCAAGTAAAACTGATGCGATCGGTCAGCTTTCTAGACAACAGAAATAAATAATTCTCTCTGTGAGGAATGACAAATATTCCTATGACTATGAAAACTATAAATCTACTTTCAATTTATAATCTTAGAAAGATTCAGGGAAATGAACCATCTATGATATAGTAAAATGCACCAGAGACTGCACATTCTTAATAATATGTCGATTATGATAGTAGATTGTAGAAAAAAACACATAGTGTTAGAGTTTTACCTTTACCAATTGCCTCTTTGTTTTGTGGGTTTTTTGTTTTTTGTTTTGTTTTGTTTGTGTTTGGTATGAAGAAATGGAAAGCAGAGAAGCTTGGAGATTTACCAGGACTGAATTTCTTCACAGTCAACAATTGGCTCTTAAACTTGCAAAATATTTGGAGCATGTGTTTTTCTTTGCTTGTTAGTTTTCCCACACTACAGTTTTTCTAGATTTTGCTAATCCAAGTGCCTGGCTCATTTTTCCCTCAGCATCCTTATGCATTTCCTCCCCAGATCAAATTCCCTGCCTAAATTAGTACACATTTTTGTTCTTGAAGAAAGAACCGAATCAGAAAGAGAATCAAAATAGACCATTATTGTCCTGGCATGAAGACAAGCAATTATTGTATTCTTCATTGCAGTTTTTTCACTTAAAATCATCCCAGAGTCGTATAAGAGATTTAATAAAAATCATTTATCATGAATTTGATTTTTAAATTTTTAAAGTTACTTATTTGTTGTTGTTTTAGTGACAGATATATTTGGCTTGGAACTATTTGGGGACAAACTGAAAAAAAGAGAAGAAGCAGGTGAATTCTTTCAAAAGAGGTTTACTGTTTTTTCCTCTTCCAGCCTTGGTTTACTTTGAGAAAAAAAGCCTAGGGTGTATAGAGAGAGGGAAGGTGTGAAAGGGTGGTTTGGAGAGAGCCCTGGGAAGCCTATGGAGCCTTTAGTGGTCTTTAGCGCATTTAACACTAGAAGACAGAGCCCTTCAGGAGGCGCAGGGAAGGACACATGGATTCTGGCCCCTAGGCTGATGAAAGAAGGGCAGAAGTGATCCCCAGAGGGATTTCATTTGCAAGTAACCACTGATGCTGCTGCATGTGCCAATGGATTTTCTGAAGTTCCTAATTGCTCTTTGTGGTATAGTTTGAACTATAAATGAATTTCTAGGAGTGTTGATTCCTGCCCTAATCTGTATATTTGTGAACATTTTCTCTGGGCAGCCTTAGCCCTCAAAATAAGCTTAACATTGCTTTAATGAGGTGATATGGTTTGGCTCTGTGTCCCACGTGTGAAGTGACAGACATGGTAGGAGGTGATTGGATCATGGAGGTGGTTTCCTCCATGCTGTTCTCGTGATAGTGACTGAGTTCTCATGAGATCTAATGATTTAAAAGTAGCACCTCCTGCTTTGCTCTCTGTCTCTCCGGCTGCCTTCCTTCTCCTTTGCCTTCCGCAATGATTGTAAGTTGTGTGAGGCCTCCCCAGCCATGCAGAACTGTGAGTCAATTAAACCTCTTTCCTCTATAAATTACCCAGTCTCAGGCAGTTCTTTATAGCAGTGTGAAAGTGGAATAATACATGAGGTATCAATTGCAGGATATGTTTACACTTAGAAACTTCATTACTCACATCCATGTATGGATTGAGTCGGTAGACAACACTTTAGACAACTTGTTATTTAACAAATAAGATGGCCTTGATTTATCTTCTAATCAATAGTTATGGAAAAAGAATTTGAAAACTTTTTTTGGTAGAATAGGGAGTGAATTAGGTGTAGATATTCACTGTTGTCAAGATTAAATGCAAACTCTGTTGTCAAAAGGTCCTACTATGGGTGTCTTAGATGTTTGTCTCAAACCAATATTTATGCAATCATATCACAATCTAAATGAGAAACTTACCTTTGTAATAGAACTGCCAATTTTTACAAGGAACTTTAAAACTATCTAAAATTTATAATTTACTTATTCAATTTTTAATGGTGCACAACCCATGTGCCAGAAGGGTTTGGGTTCCTGTTTATACAGAAGTGAACAAGCAAATTCCCTGTCTTCATGGAACTTGCCACTTACTGCTTAGTAATACAGCCAGTGGGAAAACACACCCTTTCAGATATACCTCAAGGATATCCAAGGTAAATGGCACATAAGTAGAGATTAGTCGTTTACGGTATGAACAGCAAAAAAGCCTCCTTCTATAGAATCTGCGCTGTTTTATAGTTAGCATTGGATGTAGGAAAAGTTTTTCTTTGTTGTTTTCACCTCTGTCTGATGAGTATGACCACCTCACTTTCTTGGAAGCTTCTCCCTTCCAATCTGGAATCTATCCTGTACCACCATATTAACTTGAGTATGACTGTTACTCATGGAAAACAGCTTAAAGGAGACACTTCTGGAGTTATTATATAATAAAAATAATGTCTCAAAAAAACAATAAAAATGGTAAGCCTTTCAAAGTCACAAGATGTAAAGTAAGATGTCAATTTGACAGGGAGTTTGTGTTGATATTTTTGATATAAGGACTTGCCTTAGTTAATTCATCGTTTAACCCTGCTTAGTTAAATATGAGCAGGGGTCTTCTCACAATGCTTATTTTGCTTTGATGTGACTGAGTCCAAACATCTATCAGCATTTTTTACTGGATCACTGGAAGATGCCTTTGGCATTTTTGGAAGGTTGACAGAAACTCCAGCCAGGTTAACACAAACAACAACAACAACAACAAAAAGAGCAAATAACGCTTCATTTTTATTAACAATGAACACGTTGTTAAAATGAGCGCCTTTATTTTTAAGACCCCACTTCTACCAGCCTTTCTCAAGTTTATTCCTTAGAAACTTCCTTGAATACTAGGATTTAGTAAGGACTTTGGAAAAAAAAAAAAATCCAAGCAGGATGTCTCTGTGGCATTCCAAGTCAAGAGTATTTATCAACAGAAATTTCTATTTTTATAAATGTCTGAGATCATGTGAGTTTAAAAGAAAGAGTGGTCTATTTATTATAGTGAGGCCTTTTATGTTCTCCCATGACAGGAGCAAGCACAAGACGAATAATTTATCTTTTCGCTCTGTATTTACTTTGAGAACAGTAACTCTTCCAGCACTGATTTATGTATGTGCCAAAAATTATTTCTGCTAAATATTTCCATGTTATATATATAGAATCCTCAATTTTCAGAGCACTGTAGTAATTTGTTAAAATAAAGATATATTGGTATTTCTGTAATATAAAACTGCACTGATCTACATTAATTAACAAAAATCAGGATGAATTGAAGATGTGTCAATTTCTGATGCTTGAAGAAAGCCAGTTTTATTACTTCCACATTCATATATATATGTATATATATATGAGTGCGATTGTTACTCATCAAAGTCTTTATATATATTTCATAAATAAGCAAAGATGAGCTACAGTTATATCTATCTGTAACCTTATTATCAATCAAGGAAAGATTCTAAAATTATGTTTTATGAGCATTGCAAATCCTGCTGTGAAAATGTATGTTCTCTCTACCCAAAATTGTGTTTTATCATAGTTATAGCTGTGTTAAGCTTGAGCACACTTTATCTGAGAATATCATGCATTCTGAAATGTGTAATCTTAATCAATAATATTTTCCACATGAGAAGTTATCAGTTTTCGAATGGCACTCATGTGAGTTTGCACGGCAATTTATACATACTTCACTGTGTAGAAGGAGACACAGCACAGGCTTGAAATAAGTATCTTGATAAAATAAAGTATAATGCACTATTCCTATTGGATGTAAATTCTAGAAATGGCCTTGAATCAGCATATTCACAGGCCATATTCCCCCCAATAAAGTTCATTGGGGATACTGCTCACTTTCTGTACTTGCCTTTCAGTACTTTCTAAGGGCTGATTGCAATAATGGCCTTAATTGGTAACCTCTCCTTGTGTCCACACCCTTCACTAGGTTACTTTGCAGTTCCTCCCACTAAAATGGCAGAAAATATTTTTTGAGCTTGTAACTCTGAGTTTGACGATGTGACTTGGCTTTTTCCAATAGAGTTAGATGGAGGTGGCGGCAGGTCTGTTCTGAGCCTAGGCCTCTAGAGACCCAGGCTGTTCCATGTGCTTTTCTGTATTTCTGCCATCATCCTGGGGACATGTCTGAGTGACTCAGCTGAGTCCAGCCTGGAGGAGCAGATCAGCCAACCTACCCCTAGACAGGAAGGCAAACCCAGTCTTTATCTGCAGAGCTGCTTAGCAGACCGCAGTTGATTTCAGCCATGTGATCAACAAATGCTTATTTTTATATGCTACCTAGATTTTTGTTGTCGTATTACCCAGAAAAAGCTAACTGATATAAACAGATAAGAAAACTCATCACATTGAAAGCAGGAAAGTTTGTGTGGTGGTTTCTCAAAACGTAGGCCATCCACCTCCTGTTGTCAGAAAGATTTTATTGTATTTGTTAGAACGTAGAGAGCTAGGTCATATCTGAGACTCACTGAATCAAAGTATTTGGGAAAAGGTTATCTGAAAATGGATATATGGGAGCAAATATTTAATATTCCCGTAATTATTATGTACCTTAAAATTCGAAGATTGATGCTCTATGGACTCAATCTCCTAGGGGAGAAGATATTTCTTCTTCTCCCCTAGGTGATGACAGCAGAAAATTTCCCAAGAGAACTATCAATGGGACATGTTTGGACACTTCCTTAAGCTAGATTCCCACAAGTATAGTAAGCATAAGAGTCATAGAAAAAAACAACCATACACAAATTTTCATGGTCTGTTCATGAATGCATCTATGTCTGTTCTGTAAACAATGTGTTTGAGAGTCATGATGTATCTTTGCACCACAGACAGATTTACTGTCAAAATTACACAAATAAAAAGAGTTAAGTCCTGGGATAAAACTCTCAGTGATCTACGTTTCTCAAACCCTTTATGTAATAAGTAATTTTCAGTCTTTTTCCCCCTACATACAAAATATGTGGGGAGTTCTAGATTGTATAACCATACATATAACCTCAAAAAAAGCAAATTTCCTTTTTTTCTGGTTTTGGAGTTTATAAAAGTCATTTGAAATGGCTGGCACTAAATGTTCATATGGTGGATTTGGACACCATAAAAGTTTACATTTTTGTGACTGTGTGCTATATCATGTCCTGGATTCAATTGCTTAAATAACATACAATATTGCACTTTCATATCTTGAAATATCAGTAAAACTTTGCCATCCCATTAGTTTTATGATTAATAAATTTTGATGTGATTATTAAAATACAAGTTTAAGTAAATGACCATTGTTTTAGCTGTTACATTAGTCAATGTTCTTCACAGAAGCATAACCAAAAGGGGGAAGAGAGATTAATTTACTGTAAGAAATTGGCTCATGCAGTTGTGGAAGCTGAAAAGTCCCAATATCTGTAGTCAGTGAGCTGGAGACCAAAGAAAGCTGATGGCGTAGGTTCCATTCCAAGACCTAGAAGAAGCCCAGTGTCTCAGCTTGAAGACAGTCAGGCAGAGAGAGCAAACTCTCCTTTACTCAACCTTTCTGTTCTAATTAGGCTTTCAAAGAATTGAATGAAGCCCATCCACACTGGGAAGGCAATCTGCTTTGTTCAGTCTACTGATTCAACTGTCAATCTCATCCAGAAACACCTTCCCAGATGCACCAAGAATGTTTAAGCAAATATCTGGGCACCTCGTGGTCCAGTCAATTTGACATATAAAATTAACCATCCGATGGTTCAACATACATGTACCTGTGATGTTTAACCTACAAATAAAGATTGCTAAGAGGTCAATATTTCTGAGAAGGAAAATTGTTCTACATGTATAGTCTTATGGCTTTACGTTACAGTTTGGAAACCTGTTTTCCAAACCTGGCTGCCTGTAAAATAAGTTCTCAGGAGAAGTGAATGGAAAAACAGACAGTGAAGTTTCTTTCTTTTATTTCTATTTCTTAATTCCAAAGTGTTTTGTTTGTTATATAATAATAAGATAAAGGTAAAAGATTAGTCAATATATAGAGGAAACACTGGGATTACAGAGAATGCTCTGAAATAATAACTGTGTAGTCACAGAATGTTTTAAAATGTAATATTAATTAATTATTTTTTGTAATCATAAATTTACTTTCCCTAGTACCTGTAGGAAAATGTACTTTCCATGGTACTAATGCCTAATAGCTTACCAAGCATAAACAAAAATAGATGTCTTAAATTAAGTGTTCTTAATTTTTAGGTGAGATATACATGTTATAAACAAACGTAAAGATAAAACCTACCAGGTTAACCTTACTCTTCCCTTGAAGGTAAATATTAAAATATTTTGATTGTTTATTTATTTATTCATTCATTTATCTTGCAAAGTTTTCCATCCTAGTGCAGAGAGCATAACAATAATATTTGCAAAGATGACCAGGAGAAAAAAATTTAAGAGCCTGAATACTTTTACTCTGTATTAGTTAAGGTGACACTAATTGTTTAGAAATTTGAAAATGTAGAATGTTTCAAAGATGAGAAAAATTTATTTATCTCACATATAAAGTCCCAAATGGTTGTTCCTAATCTGGATAACTCTCCTTCAACTGGGGATGTAGGCGTCCATGTTCCTTCCACGTTATGGTTGTACCTTATTAAATATGTTGCTTACAAGTTCCCTGCAATCATTTTGCAACAAGCTGGTAGAAGGTGAGAATCCCATCAGTGAGAAGGGTTTATGGGCCAGTCTTGAAGGGTTAAGCAGTGCACATCACTTCTCATCACATTTTATTGCCAGAACTCAGTCACATGGCCACACCTAACTAGAAGGAACATTGAGAAATAGTTAAATTGGGTGTGCAAAAACATACAGGTGACATTGCTAATAGCTGGCTGGCTCTGAATGTTTATATGACAGATTTGGATGCCGTAAAAGCTCACACTTTCAATCTAGTTTTGATTTATGGGATCCAGAGATCAGGCAAATGCTTCTTATGGGCTTATAATGGACACATTTGATCACTTTCAGAGTGCACACTTTAATTGGTGGTGCACGGTAGCAGGGTCTGCAATCTTTTGTGTAAAGGGCCAGATAGTAAATACTGTAGACGCTGCAGGTCATAGAGTCTTTTTCTTTACCACTCAACTCTACCATTGTAACACCAAAACAGGCAGTATGAGTGGGTCGGGCTATATTACACAAACACTATTTACAAAAACAGGAGGTGAGCTGGATTTGTTCCATGAGCCGTAGTTTGTTGACTACTGCTGTAGTTGAAATATTCATTTATAGACTGCTTATACTGTCTTTTTCTTACAAGTACTATAGCTTTTTCTCCATTGCTATTGTAATTAGTTGAACATAGTTAAATTAGCACTCATCTTGACATATCCTTACTATGTATATTTTTTGAGAAGGGTGAAAACTATATACAACTATTATGGCCGTCTAGTTGCTTGCCCTTGAAATGTTGTTCCACTGTGAGTCTAGGGCTTGAGAGAAATGGCAGGAGTGTTTGAGAACTCAAAATGTGCCTTAACCACTATCTTTCTATTGTAAATGGGCAGAATCTCAATTTAAAAAATGGTAGAAAGAAAAAAGAGCTTCTATTGGCTCGTATAACTGAAAAGACCAGAAATAGATTTTCAGGCAGAGCGAGATCCAGATGATTAAACAATATTTCTATAAATGTGTCTCTGTCTATCTGTCTGCTATCATTTTCTGAATGTGGTGTCTTAGGTTCAGGCTGAAATAACACAATACCATAGTCTGGGTGGCTTAAATGACAGAAACTTATGGCCGGGCGTGGTGGCTCACGCCTGTAATCCCAGCACTTTGGGAGGCTGAGGTGGGTGGATCATGAGGTCAGGAGATGGAGACCATCCTGGCTAACGCGGTGAAACCCCGTCTCTACTAAAACAATATACACACACACACACAAATTAGCTGGGTGTGGTGGCGGGTGCCTGTAGTCCCAGCTACTCGGGAGGCTGAGGCAGGAGAATGGCGTGAACCCTGGAGGCAGAGCTTGCAGTGAGCCGAGATTGCGCCGCTGCACTCCAGCCTGGGCGACAGAGAGAGACTCTGTTTCAAAAAAAAAAAAAAAAAAAAAAAAAAAAACCAAACCGACAACAACAAAAAACAAACAAAAACAAATGACAGAAACTTATTTCTCACCGTTCTGGAGGCTGGGTTATCTGAGATCAAGATGACAGCGTGGCTTGCTTCTGGTGAGGGCCTTCTTCCTGGCTTATGGATGGCTGCCTTCTTGCTGTGTCCTTACATGGCAGAGAGCACAGAGAGAGGAAGCGAGGTCTCTGATGTCTCTTCTAATAAGGGCACTAATCCTATCATGAGGGCTCCCTCCTCATGATCTCATAAACTCCCAAAGACCTCATGATTTCATAAACTCCCAAAGACGCCATCTCCAAATACCATCACACTGAGGATTAAGATTTCAGCCTATGAATTGTCAGGGGCCGCAAGCATTCAGTTCATAGCATGTAGTCTTTCACTTTTAAGGTAACTATTTTCAAGTGATTTCGAAAATAATCTTCTATACTTTGGGGCTTATATCCTATTTGATCAAGTAAGCTCAGTAAACATATAAGTCTTTTTTTCTCTATTGTTTCAGTAAAAGTGGTGGTAGGGATAACATGCATTGTTCTAACTTAAATCAATGCCATTCTGTGTACCTGATGGCTGAAAGGAAGAGATAAACTCCTTAGTCTGGCAAGCATTACATTCCCATGTTTTGGAGGTATGGAATGTGGAGTAAAAGTGAGACAGATAAAGTTAGCCTAAGGAAAATCAAACTCTCATACCAGAAACTGAGGGAATGCATAGTGGCTGAACAAAAATCATCTACCATAATTTAATACATTTATTTTTCAAAGTTTTCCAAATAGAATTTAGGTGACTGTATTGCAAAATTATTATATATGGATGCTTTGGTTGAGGGGCTAAGGAAAACCAGAAAAACATATTATTAAGGTGACTTCAATCCCTCTCTAGGGATACTTATCCTTACAAAATTTGATTCAGTTAAAAACTGACACAGTCCTCCTCTTCTTAGAACAAATTCTGTCCTATAAGATGCTGAATGTTGAGAATGGTCTAATTGGAATATAAAATTATCCTGATAAAATAATTTGAATTTGTTATATTGATACAAAATATGAGAGTCTGTTCTGCCAAGATATTAATTTTAATGGACATAAAATAAAGATGTTTTTAATAATTAGATTTAAATTTGCTCCAGTGGTTATACATTCCAGATGTTTACATCTATGACTTGCTTGTTAATAAATTTAGATTTAGAATTAACTGACCAATTTGTTATTTGCATTTTCTTCCATATTTATGGCTATCTGTGCCAAATTTGCCTTCCTAAAATACTATGTAATTCTTTTATTCCACAAGGAAATAACATCCACCAGATGGTATAAGTATACACGCATAAAGCCCAGATGTCAATATTTTTAAAACTTCATTTTTAATGAGTAGAGATGAAGGCAAACATGAATTACATAATGGTTAGCATTTCAGACTACTCAAATTCCAGGGAAAAAGTTGAGAATGTTCCCTACTGCTACAAGTTGGTGCCCATTAAAAAAATCATTAAAAAATTGATAGCATAGGATATAGGTAAATTATTTTTGCCTGAAATGTAGTAAGAATCATTGTAATCTTGAATTAAGCTAAAAAATAATCTGCAAAAGTTCAACATGAAGGCAATATTATTTAACAGAAGCATATGTGATAAGATTAAGGAGCCTCAACATGAATCTTCATATGATGCAACTTGAAAAAATACAAGTTAATGTGATGATGAGTAAAATAAACTCAGGAGATGACCGTCTTTTTCCAGCATGCCCCAGTGTAAAAACACCTGGGGAATTCCGTGGCATTCTATGCCATAAGTACTGCATGGAAAACTGACAAACAGAAATTCAACCAGAAAATAACAGCTGCGTCATATGGGGACTGCTTATGACAAGTGGAGACAGTTAAGCTGGAGCAAAGAGGAAGAGATGAAGCGTTGTCACAAACTTGCCATATAGAAGACTCTGTGAAGACAAGAGGACAAATACCCCATTAATATAAAGGAAACATCCTAACATTAATGTTGATTCACAACGGAATGGATTTTCTTGGAGGGTTTTAAGTTTCCTGCATTAGGAACATTCATGGAGATTCAAAATTGTCAAGAATATGATGGAGAGCAAGTGTTCTGTCAATATTTTTGGAATGAATACATGATGATAGGAAAGATAATTGAAATTTATTGAGCATCTACCATGTTTCTCTTCTAGGAAAACAGTCATATCATTTCTTTAAAGAGCCTTGTTCACAGGAAATATTGTAATCTTTATCTTACTGATTAGACCACTGATGGTCAGTAAATGGGGAGCCAGAATTCTTCCAAAGGTCTTTCTGATTTTCTGATTTCAAAACCTATTCATGCTCTGTCTAGATTTTTTTTAGATCAAGATTATGCAATCTGTTGTTTAATATAGATGTTATTGGGGTGAAAGCTGATAAAATACAGATATACAAGCATGTTACAAAATATTATGTGTGTCAATAAAGAAAACCCAACTGATAGAGGCTTTTTTTCTGCTGAAGGGAAACAGAAAACGTAACAAGATTATTTTATTTTGTTTATTTATTTATTCATTTATTTGAGATGGAGTCTCAGTCTGTCACCCAGGTCAGAGTGCAGTGGCATGATTGGGGCTCACTGCAACCTCTGCCTCCTGGGTTCAAGCAATTCTCATGCTTCAGTCTCCCAAGCAGCCGGGACTACAGGTGAGTGCCACCATGCCTGGACAATCTTTGTATTTTAGTAGAGATGGGGTTTCACTTTGTTGACCAGGCTGGACTCCAGCTCCTCACCTCAGGTGATCCATCTGCCTTGGCCTCCCAAAGCACTGGGATTACAGGCATGAGCCACCACACCCAGCCAAGATTATTTTAGATAGTGCTAAGTGCTATATAGAAAATGTAAAAGTAGAGAAGTAAATTGAGATCTTTACATAATGTAGTCATGTTAGGACTTGATATAGTTTGGACATTGTTCCCCCTAAATCTCATGAGGAATTGTAATCCCCAGTGTTGGAGGTGGAGCCTGGTGAGAGGTGACTGGATCGTGGGGGTAGATTTTTCATGAATGGTTTAGCAAGATCTGGCTGTTTAAAAGTGTGTGGCATCTTTCTTCTCTCTCTCTTGCTTCTGCTCTCACCGTGTGATGTGCCTGCTTCTGCTTTGCCCTCTACCATGAGTAAAAGCTCACTGAGGCCTCCTTCAAAACCAAGCAGATGCCCATGCTTATACAGTCTGTGGAACTGTGAGCCAGTTAAACCTCCTTTCTTTATAGGTTACCCAGCTTCAGGTATATCTTTATAGCAAGGCAAAAATGGCTTGATACAGGACCCTTTGGAGAGGTAAAGTATAGATAATACCTAAATGATGAGGAGTCAGGTGGGAGACGGCCAGAGGAAATGAGTTCCAGGCAGAAGTAGCAGAAAGTCTTCAGGAAGGAGGGCAGGGTTGGCACTTTCAAAATTCTGCAAAAACAAAAAAAAATTGTATTATTAAAACTTGATGAATAAGAGACATAATTCATGAAGATGGTCAGGGAGAAAGATAGACAATAGGCCAGGCACGGTGGCTCATGCCTGTAATCCCAGCACTTTGGGAGGCCGAGGCAGGTGGATCACGAGGTCAGGAGATCGAGACCATCCTGGCTAACACAGTGAAACCCCGTCTCTACTAAAAATAGAAAAAAATTAGCCAGGTGTGGTGGCGGGCGCCTGTAGTCCCAGCTACTTGGGAGGCTGAGGTAGGAGAATGGCATGAACCTGGGAGGCGGAGCTTGCAGTGAGCTGAGATCACGCCACTGCACTCCAGCCTGGGTGACAGAGGAAGACTCCGTCTCAAAAAAAAAAAAAAAAAAAAAGACAATTTGACTTCCTCTTTTCCTAATTGAATACCCTTTATTTCCTTCTCCTGCCTAATTGCCCTGGCCAGAAATTCCAACACTATGTTGAATAGGAGTGGTGAGAGAGGGCATCCTGTCCTGTGCCAGTTTTCAAAGGGAATGCTTCCAGTTTTTGCCCATTCAATATGATATTGGCTGTGGGTTTGTCATAGATAGCTCTTATTATTTTGAGATATGTCCCATCAATACCTAATTTATTGAGAGTTTTTAGCATGAAGGGTTGTTGAATTTTGTCAAAGGCCTTTTCTGCATCTATTGAGATAATCATGTGGTTTTTGTCTTTGGTTCTGTTTATATGCTGGATTACATTTATTGATTTGCGTATATTGAACCAGCCTTGCATCCCTGGGATGAAGCCCACTTGATCATGGTGGATAAGCTTTTTGATGTGCTGCTGGATTCTGTTTGCCAGTATTTTATTGAGGATTTTTGCATCAATGTTCATTAAGGATATTGGTCTAAAATTCTCTTTTTTGCTTGTGTCTCTGCCCAGCTTTGGTATCAGATTGATGCTGGCCTCATAAAATGAGTTAGGGAGGATTCCCTCTTTTTCTCTTGATTGGAATAGTTTCAGAAGGAATGGTACCAGTTCCTCCTTGTACCTCTGGTAGAATTCGGCTGTGAATCCATCTGGTCCTGGACTCTTTCTGGTGGGTAAGCTATTGATTATTGCCACAATTTCAGATCCTGTTACTGGTCTATTCAGAGATTCAACTTCTTCCTGGTTTAGTCTTGGGAGAGTGTATGTTTCGAGGAATTTATCCATTTCATCACAAGTCTTTTTATACATCAATAACGGACAAACAGAGAGCCAAATCATGAGTGATCTCCCATTCACAATTGCTTCAAAGAGAATAAAATACTTAGGAATCCAACTTACAAGGGATGTGAAGGACCTCTTCAAGGAGAACTACAAACCACTGCTCAATGAAACAAAAGAGAATACAAACAAATGGAATAACATTCCATACTCATGGGCAGAAGAATCAATATCGTGAAAATGGCCATACTGCCCAAGGTAATTTGTAGATTCAATGCCATCCCCATCAAGCTACCAATGACTTTCTTCACAAAATTGGAAAAAACTACTTTAAAGTTCATATGGAACCAAAAAAGAGCCCACATCGCCAAGTCAATCCTAAGCCAAAGGAACAAAGCTGGAGGCATCATGCTACCTGACTTCAAACTATACTACAAGGCTACAGTAACCAAAACAGCATGGTACTGTTACCAAAACAGAGCTATAGATCAATGGAACAGAACAGAGCCCTCAGAAATAACACCGCATATCTACAACTATCTGATCTTTGACAAACCTGAGAAAAACAAGCAATGGGGAAAGGATTCCCTATTTAATAAATGGTGCTGGGAAAACTGGCTAGCCATATGTAGAAAGCTGAAACTGGATCCTTTCCTTACACTTTATACAAAAATTAATTCAAGATGGATTAAAGACTTAAATGTTAGACCTAAAACCATAAAAACCCTAGAAGAAAACCTAGGCATTACCATTCAGGACATAGGCATGGGCAAGGACTTCATGTCTAAAACACCAAAAGCAATGGCAACAGAAGCCAAAATTGACAAATGGGATGTAATTAAACTAAAGAGCTTCTGCACAGCAAAAGTAACTACCATCAGAGTGAACAGGCAACCTACAAAATGGAGAAAATTTTCGCAACCTACTTATCTGACAAAGGGCTAATATCCAGAATCTACAATGAACTCAAACAAATTTACAAGAAAAAAACAAACAACCCCATCAAAAAGTGGGCAAAGGATATGAACAGACGCTTCTCAAAAGAAGACATTTATGCAGCCAAAAGACACATGAAAAAATGCTCACCATCACTGGCCATCAGAGAAATGCAAATCAAAACCACAATGAGATACCATCTCACAACAGTTAGAATGGCAATCATTAAAAAGTCAGGAAACAACAGGTGCTGGAGAGGATGTGGAGAAATAGGAACACTTTTACACTGTTGGTGGGACTGTAAACTAGTTCACCCATTGTGGAAGTCAGTGTGGCGATTCCTCAGGGATCTAGAACTAGAAATACCATTTGACCCAGCCATCCCATTACTGGGTATATACCCAAAGGACTAGAAATCATGCTCCTATAAAGACACATGCACACGTATGTTTATTGTGGCACTATTCACAATAGCAAAGACTTGGAACCAACCCAAATGTCCAACAATCATAGACTGGATTAAGAAAATGTGGCACATATACACCATGGAATACTATGCAGCCATAAACAATGATGAGTTCATGTCCTTCGTAGGGACATGGATGAAATTGGAAATCATCGTTCTCAGTAAACAATCACAAGGACAAAACACCAAACACCGCATGTTCTCACTCATAGGTGGGAATTGAACAATGAGAACACAGGGACACAGGAAGGGGAACATCATACTCTGGGGACTGTTGTGGGGTGGGGGGAGGGGGGAGGGATAGCATTAGGAGATATACCTAATGCTAAATGATGAGTTAATGGGTGCAGCACACCAGCATGGCACATGTATACATATGTAACTAACCGGCACATTGTGCACATGTACCCTAAAACTTAAAGTATAATAATAAAAAAATAAAAAATAAATTAAAAAAAAAGACACAATAAATAGAACTTCTGCTCTATAGCCGGGTGTGTAGATCTGATTCTTGGGGACGTCTAGTATAATTTGGGTTATGTGTTAAAAGTTGTTCAATACTGGATGAGAGAATAAGTGAAAGATTGATACAGATAGAAGAAAAAGATCAGCAGGAAAAATTTTTCAGAATAAATAGAAAGTGAGAGAGTTTGAAAGTGTAGATGGAGAGATAAATAGATAGTTTCTAGCTATAAAATCAACTTTATTGAGGTATAATTTGCATGCAATAAAGTACAAGCTTTTTAAGTTCCATGTGCTTTGACACATAATGTATCCTTAAGTACTTTTTAGGGAACATAATCAAGGAATAAGAAAGAGCTCATGTATAAAAATATTATAATGTACAAGCTAAGATGATGTCTTGGGAAATAAATGAAGGCAACCTCTCAGAATGTAGGACAAAGAGACATAGAGACTTAGAAATATTGACAGAAAAGATAAAAGATTTATCTTAGCTTGGGCTGCTATAACCAAGTCCGTAGACTGGGTGGTTTAAACATTGATTTCTCATAGTTCTGAAAATGATCCCTTTGTATCTCTTGTTATGAGGGCATAATCCCATTTCTAAGGGCTCCATCTTAATAACCTCCCTAAAGCCCCACCCCCTAATATTATTACATTAAGGATTAGGATTTCAAGGTTGTGAATTTTGGGGGGACACAACATTCAGTCCATATCAGAGATGTAGAGGATCATTCCAATTTCAAACTATGAAAAATATTTTTAAAGTGAAGAACATAGTTACATAAACTGATATTGTATAAAGTTTAGTGGGAGAAAAAGCAGATAACTTTGAAGGGAGCAAGAACCAGGCAATATTAGCCCAACTGCTCATTAGCAACATTGATTATTAAATGTTGATGCAACGGTGCCTTTAAAAATCTGAACAGAAAATTACTTCTAGTCTAGAATTCTTTTTTTTTTTTTTTTTGAGATAGAGTCTCTTTCTGTCACCCAGGCTGGAGGGTATTGGCGCGATCTTGGCTCACTGCAAGCTCCACCTCTCAGGTTGACACCATTCTCCTGCCTCAGCATCCTGAGTAGCTGGGACTACAGGCACCTGCCACCACACCCTCTAGCCTAGAATTCTATACCCAGCCAAACTACTAATCAAGTTTGAGGGTAGAATAAAGTCATTTTCAGAAATTCATAATCTCAGAATGTTTATATTGCACACACTTTGTCTTTGAAGTTTTTTGAGAAAAGCTTTAGGAAACCAAGTAAGAGAAAGACAAGGGATTCAGGAAACAGTGGGTGGATCTAACCCAAAGAGGTAATAATGGGACATCCTAGATAATGTTACGCATAGGCTCAGAGCACCAAAATGAAGAAAGCTGATGGAATCATCTGGAAGCACCTTTCTGGGGGGGAAAAAGATGAAACTTTAGAAAACTTGATTAGAAGATAAAGGTAAATGAAGCTGACCCCAAAAAAAGCTTAATATATGTGGTATTAAGAAGCACACAAGTCTTCTTTTGAGAAGTGTCTGTTCATATCCTATGCCCACTTTTTGATGGGGTGGTTTGTTTTTTTCTTGTAAATTTGTTTGAGTTCATTGTAGATTCTGGATATTAGCCCTTTGTCAGATGAGTAGGTTGTGAAAATTTTCTCCCATTTTGTAGGTTGCCTGTTCACTCTGATGGTAGTTTCTTTTGCTGTGCAGAAGCTCTTTAGTTTAATTAGATCCCATTTGTCAATTACGGCTTTTGTTGCCATTGCTTTTGGTGTTTTAGATATGAAGTCCTTGCCCATGCCTATGTCCTGAATGGTAATGCCTAGGTTTTCTTCTAGGGTTTTTATGGTTTTAGGTCTAACGTTTAAGTCTTTAATCCATCTTGAATTAATTTTTGTATAAAGTGTAAGGAAAGGATCCAGTTTCAGCTTTCTACATAAGGCTAGCCAGTTTTCCCAGCACCATTTATTAAATAGGGAATCCTTTCCCCATTGCTTGTTTTTCTCAGGTTTGTCAAAGATCAGATAGTTGTAGATATGCGGTGTTATTTCTGAGGGCTCTGTTCTGTTCCATTGATCTATAGCTCTGTTTTGGTACCAGTACCATTGCTCCTATAAAGACACATGCACACGTATGTTTATTGCTGCACTATTCACAATAGCAAAGACTTGGAACCAACCCAAATGTCCAACAATGATAGACTGGATTAAGAAAATGTGGCACATATACACTATGGAATACTATGCAGCCATAAAAAATGATGAGTTCATGTCCTTTGTAGGGACATGGATGAAATTGGAAATCATCATTCTCAGTAAACTATCGCAAGAACAAAAAACAAAACACCACATGTTCTCATTCATAGGTGGGAATTGAACAATGAGAACACACGGACACAGGAAGGGGAACATCACACTCTGGGGACTGTTGTGCGGTTGGGGGAGGGGGGAGGGATAGCATTAGGAGATATACCTAATGCTAAATGACGAGTTAATGGGTGCAGCACACCAGCATGGCACGTGTATACATATGTAAGTAACCTGCACATTGTGCACATGTACCCTAAAACTTAAAGTATAATAATAAAAAAAAAGAAAAATAAATATAAGTCATTACACTTTTAAATAAAACTTGTTTGAAACTTTAAAAAAAAAAAAAAGAAGCAGAAAAGTTTTCACATTTGGCCTGTAAAGGAGGAAAGCATTATCAACACACTATATGGCTCCGGAGTGAACATTATCAACAATAATATAATAATTTTAAAATTTTTGAGTCTCTGCAAATCAACACAAAACAGAATATAAATATTACCAAATCTGATGTTATAAAAGTAAATCCATAGATGACATATTATATATGGAAGACGTAGGAGAAAGGAGGAAAGGATGGGATCTCTTTTACTCTTCAGCCAAAAGTAAAAGAGATACTATCACTAAGGAATCAAAAATAGATGGTTTATGTCAGTTAATTAAATTTGTAATGGTAACCAGGGGAGTATCCATAAACAGTGAAATAATCATTGGGAATAAAGAGCAAAAAAATGTAGCTTCAGTGAGGTAAATTCTCTCCTATCATATCTCAAAGTCAATAAGTGATATCTTCATCCAATAAGGCAATAAAAATCAATATAAACACATGATTCAGAATTATGGAGATGACTACTGGAGGAATTCAGAACGGTAAATGCTTTTTGCTTCTGAAAGCAGAAGTGGAGAAAAGTAATGATGTTCTTCAGAAATATTTAATTTTTAAAAGTCATATATGTTTTATGTATCTTGTTGGTAAACCTAAAAAAGTAAAGATCAAATACTATGAACTAGGAATAGAATTTCTTAAATATTAGATGTGTTGGAAATCTTTTAATTATTATGAACTGATTTAATACATACATATTTTTAATACACCTAACTTCTGCTAAGTAATATTAAAAAATATAAATATGATGAAAAGTATACTTGTATCCAAATGTGTAGAAATAGTGCTATTATACCTAGTAATGGGATGGCTGGGTCAAATGGTATTTCTAGTTCTAGATCCTTGAGGAATCGCCACACTGTTTTCCACAATGGTTGAACTAGTTTACAGTCCCACCAACAGTGTAAAAGTGTTCCTATTTCTCCACACCCTCTCCAGCACCTGTTGTTTCCTGACTTTTTAATGCTCACCATTCTAACTTGTGTGAGATGGTATCTCATTGTGGGTATATACCCAAAGGATTATAAATCATGCTGCTATAAAGACACATGCACACGTATATTTATTGTGGCACTATTCACAATAGCAAAGACTTGGAACCAGTCCAAATGTCCATCAATGATAGACTGGATTAAGAAATTGTGGCACATATACACCATGGAATACTATGCAGCCATAAAAAAGGATGAGTTCGTGTCCTTTGTAGGGACATGAATGAAGCTGGAAACCATCATTCTCAGCAAACTATTGCAAGGACAGAAAACCAAACACCGCATGTTCTCATTCATAGGTGGGAACTGAACAATGAGAACACTTGGACACAGGGTGGGGAACATCACACACTGGGGCGTGTCATGGGGTGGGGGGAGTGGGGAGGGATAGCATTAGGAGATATACCTAATGTAAGTGATGAGTTAACGGGTGCAGCACACCAACATGGCACATGTATACTTATGTAACAAACCTGCACGTTGTGCACATGTACCCTATAACTTAAAGTATAATTTAAAAAAATTTAAAAAAAGAAATAGTGCTGTTACCTTTGATTATTAAAAAAAGAGTTTTTTTTAATGGATTTAATGGGTTTAGAATTGATGAAAGGAAAACATTGTGGTAATTTTCTGGAGTGTGCCTCAGTCGATATTTATTTATCTTAGTGGCATGTTCTTTCTCATTGCTAGGCAATAAAGATATTTTTAAAATTATGTCACAAATTTTTATTATTAAGTGCTGGAAACTTTGTTAATAAAATGAGAACTCATCTTGCTCACTAAACTCAATTCAGAACAATTTTAGTTAAACAAAAATTGGAAGAATTATAGACTCAGCCAGCCAAATACTAATAAATATCACATGCACCATAAATTGCACAACATCTGAATATACTGTGTTCTTTGTTAACATTAAATAATTATTCAATATTGTGAGGTTTCAATTCACTTCATTTTGGGAATATTCAGTGGTTTTAAGTGATAAATTACATACCATTATTGTCATTTCTTAATGTCAGATTATCTGTTAACCTCTGAGTAATTTTCATTGAAATAACTTGTAGAAAAGTCAAAGAAATATGATGTTTATTATTCAAGATTATTTGTAGCAATTTGTTCATATTTTTGGCAATCTTTATATTCTAGAACGCTAATACTACGCAAAATGAATTGGCACATTTGTATTGCTTGGCTAATAATAACTTTCACAGCATGTCACTCTAGAGACATGAGCTTGAAAAGAACCCAAGAACTTCTACATCTGTGAGGGACCAAGTGAAGGAACATGCAGACTCTTAGTAGATATATTTACTTTTTCATTAAAAAAAAGTAGATTTGTGTTAAGTTTTGACTTTGAGTTTCTAGGCATTTTAAACATGCCCTTGAATCAAGATATTACATATTGAAATTGATTTTGGTTAACGCGCCGTGGTAAGTCATTATGTAGTCCTGAGTCCCCTCTTGATTTCTTTTATTTGAGTTCCTTGTTTTTCGCTGGTCACACAATTTCCATTTTTGCTCTCTCTATGGAAAACTTTTGCAAATCTCAAATAATTTTCTTAACAGGCAACTATAAAATGCATACCATCCAGTGTTTACTCAAGGGTGCTTTCTGATTCTGATCCTTTTAATTTGCTTTAGCATGTTTAATGTAACTCACTTTTATTACATAGAAGATAATGGTAAATGGCCCCAAATCTGTGAATGTCACATAAACACCAGATGGTTGGAGCATGGGGAAAAATAGGGAGTGCTCTAGGAAGCTAGTCTAGACTAACACTTATTAAGTGCGTTTTTGTGTTTCTTTTAGTTCAGTTGCATCAAATTCCCAATTTTTGTGTGCTATGGAGAAACACAATTTGGAGTAATATAAATGAGAGCCAATTACTGTGGAATTTGTAGCCTTTTCCACATAACTAGGTACTAATAAGAGAAACAAGAGAAAACATTGAGAATTGGTAAAAGAGAAGGAAAGAAGAGAGAAGGAGAGAAGAAAAGACTGTGCTAATGAAGATAATCTGCTTGAATTATTAAATATGGCCCAAACAAACCATCTGAGAGTGCAGTTAGCTTCTGAAATCTGTAGAGAATGTGACAAGAACTTTACTCCTTATTTGAAGATGAAGCTAATTCTTCATAAGATGTTTTCCATGTATGACATCTAGGATTGCAAATTAGAGTTAGAAGGTGCTGGCAGTGTGTGGGTTAATGGTGAGCTGCCCCCAAAGCACCTTAACTCAAAATTATTTTTTAAACTTAGAACCAAATCTATAGAAGATTAAATCATTGCTCATTATGGAGTGTCCATTTGCAGGCACACGCTGAGACAATCAATAAACTTTTCTCGATCCTTATAGGAGAAGGTGCTCCCTGGGATTCTGCCTGGGCCAAGACGGCAGGCAAGCATGTGCCCCTCTCTATAGTAGTGAAGACAGCTGGTGAGAAAGCCTTATATATTAGAGACACTTTATGTATTGAGGGTATCCTATTATGTCTTATTATCCTACTCTTGCAAAATTCTCTTCTGCCTGATAATCCCAATTTTTGAAATTTCCTTGAATACGTTATTTTTTCACACCTTTTAGACACATGAAATTCCTGTAGAACTTCTCCAGTCTCTCCAAGCCACCATTAAATTTTGGCCAAGACGTACTTCAATTTGACCGATTCCATCAAGTAATAGATTTGAATTTCATTCAGGGTGGTTCCGAGGTATAAGAGGTAATTATTATCTCAATCCTTTAAAAAGTGTGACTGCAGATTTTATTTGAACACAGGAATGTAGAGATTATGTTTTTTATTCAGCTAAATAATTGAATCTTATCACCTAAAGCACACAACTTTCATTTGAAAAGTAAAAACACAGAAACAAAAATAAAAATCAATCTGTCCTTTAATCTTCAAAATGCCAGGTAACTGCCATTATCTTTTGTGACTTTTTTTTTTAAACACATTGGTCACATGATTTTTGCTATAGTGGAAAAATAGGGTTTAATAGAGTACGGGGACTTTTTTTTTTTCTTCAGTCGTGGGCAGTTCTTTTCTGTTTCTTAATTGTAAAATGTAAATAACACCATAAAAATTTAATTATCCATAATGCCAGAAATCTAGCAAGGCTATTTCCAATTTTGCATATCCTTTCTGACCTTTGGCAGAAGCATTGAGTGGGCACAGAAACATGGCTTAAATCCTTATTAGCCTGCTATAACAAAGAAAGTTTGAAAAAGGAAATCAAGAAAAAATAACAGAGTAAAAGGTTTACTGTTTTCAGCAGGGCAATCTTCCCAAAAGCAATTCCTTCTGGCCCCAAATCAAAGGGTACTAGATAAGCAGTTCCTCCCATCACCCTGGGAAAAGTGCAGAGCGGATTGATTTTGCAATCTACTCAGAAAGGACTGTGGGAATCATGAGATTGGAAATGTGGTCAAGGTGAGGTCAGTCATGGGTCATTCATTCATTCCTTCTTGCAAACCTTTACCGAGTACAGACTATGTGTCATGCTTTTGCTTCTGGGAAGGCAAAAGTGCATAAAATGCAGTTTGTGACTTTGCAAATTTCATAGCCTATTGGAAGATGCTGATGTGCAGGTAAGTAAAAATACATCAAGGCTGTAATAGAAGGATCAATAGAGTTTGGAGCAAAGGGAATGGACAACTCAAATTGATCCTGAAATTTGGAAAATTCTTCAACAGAAAAACTCTAGGTGGCTCCTGAAGAATATATGTAGACTGCAAAGGAACAGGTGAAATGAAGGAGAGAAGAGAAGAGTATTTCAAGGTATTACGTTAGATTAGTTCTTGGGTGGCAATTTGTCAGGGCTCACACTTAAAATCAGAATGAGATGTCATAGTAGCTGCCATTTAGCTTTGACTGTGTCAGACACTGTGCTTACTGCTTTACTGCATCATCTCATTAATTTCCACCACAACTATTTTGAGTTAGATGTTATTCTCATTTTAATAATGAGGAAACCAAACCTAGAGAGTTTAAGTAATTAGCTTAAGGTTTCACAAATTTGAATCCATATTTGTCTGATGCCCTGTGATCAATGACAACATTCAGTCTAGCTATGCAGTTTTGAGGTTACTAGAAGTTCTAAAACCAGTCTCCAGGCTTACGCCTGTAATCCTAGCACTTTGGGAGCCCGAGGCAGTTGGATTGCCTGAGCTCAGGAGTTCGAGACCAGCCTGGGCAACACTGTGAAACCCCGTCTCGACTGAAAAAAAAAAAACACAAAAAATTAGCCAGGCGTAGTGGCATTTACCTGTAGTTCCAGCTACTCAGGAGGCTGAGGCAGGAAAATTGCCTGAACCCGGGAGGAGGAGGGATGTTGCAGTGAGCCGAGATCGAACTACTGCGCTCCAGCCTGGGCAACACAGCGAGACTCCGTCTCTACAAAAAAAAAAAAAAAAAAAAAAAAAAAAAATTGTGTTTTGCTGCAGAGGGATTTTTTAAATGATCAGAGGTGTTTTTTTTTTTTTAACAGAAATTCATATTTTGCTAATATGAAGGCATAAAACAGTAACATAGAGTGATGTATTAAAAAATCAATTACACTGGGATAATGTTGATATTCGAAATGGCTAGATAATTGGGGAGTGTTAAATGCAACAAAAGTCAATAATCACAAAGTGTTAAGGTTAGAGAAAGATCAGTCAATGGCTAAACAAAATTAACATTTTTATAGGACTATTTCTGATTATTATCGTTTTTGTTTTGTAAATGAGGAATACTGTTAAGAATGGAAAAAAAAAAATAACATGCATGATGCTGAGAATAGACATACAGCTTTCAAGTGAAAAGAACACAAAACTGAAGTTTTCATCCAACTCAGCCGGGTGCGTCCAAGAGTGGTTAAACCAATGACTTTGAGAATTTGTTGAAGGTGTGTAAACCATCAAAGGGGTTCAATGTAGGCTCAAAGGAAGCATTTCATTCTGACTTTGCTGGTTAGGTATATATTTTTTTTTTCAGTCTGCTAAAAGCCAAGTTATATACGCAGTGGTTACTTATCTGGCGCTTTAATTCAATAGGATTCACTTGCTAAGGTACACTGCCAATAAAACCTTAGAGTGCCTTCAGTTATAATTTAAATGAGACATTGCCCTCCAGAGGTCTTCTAAAAGAACTGACCTGGACAAGATCTAGATTTAGGCGAGACAATTAAGTAAATTAAAAACATACTTTAAGAACACCGTTGTACTTAACATAAATCAGTTAAATTGCTTATATGTGTTTCCAATATCCCTTTAAATTTGATATTAGCAAAAGCAGTAAAAATATCTGTAAAATACTCTGGTTTTCCATACATTTTCAAAAATTGTACATAGTTCTTTCTTTTTAAAATATTCACTTTTTGTCTTTTGTTGTTTTTCCCTAAAATAAGTAGAAAATCCATTTAGGCCAATCAATTTTGTGTTTATTAAGCAAACACAAGTCTTTACAGCCATATTTCAATTATGTGGTGATTTGCTATGCTCCAAGAGATTAAGTGATTGTGGGAACATAGTTCTCTTTGAAACACAGCTCTTCTTAATAAGAAGTCATAGGCCAATTTATTTATCACACAATTGTGTTGAAATATTGAGTATTTCTCGTGGAGAAAAAGGAATACAGTAATGATGCATTGATGGTAACGAAAAAAGTAGGGTTGAGAATGTGAGTGTGGGGTAGGCATTGAATTACAAAGAGATTTTTATTTAACATCAAATCTAGTATTTGATTGTTTTTGTCCCAAAACTTCCTTCTTCTTTCTTTCATCTCCTTGAAGATAAAATTAGATTTTTTTTTCTTGCTGTATGTCTTAGTACTCAATTGGTTCACTATATCCTTGGCTCCAGGTGACTTGAAATCTTACTCCACGCACTTTCCTTAATCTCCAGTAATCTTTAGCTTGTCAGTGTTCAACTCTTATTTTTCAACATCACAAGGTGCTCCTCAAATAATCACTCTTAAACGGAGGAGGATGGTGCAGGAAGACAAGTCTTTGAGTGAGGATCATCAGATGAATCTGGATACTTCCATCTTCACTTTTCTGCCTAAAATTCATAACCAGGAAGCTAAATATTTATACTTTGATTTACTAATTCATTCAATCGTCACCCACTCACCCATTTATACACTCACACAACACTCATGCTTTCAGCAGCTATTAGGTGCCAGACACTATGTGAAATCTAATATTAAACCTGGTGGCAGGGATTAATACCCTACACCTGGTATTATTAATCCCTGGTGAGATATTGTCGCTGCCCAATGCCCTTTTAATGTCCTCCTTGCTCCTTCCTGATCTCTTTTTCTTTGAACATGTTAGGCCCTTTGAGATTAGGATAGAAACCGTTCAGTGAGAATATGACAGAAATCTGAGAAATCTTTTAAAAATGGAAGCTGTAACCTAATCTACACTGCCAGCATCTTTATGAGATCTGGACAGTTTCCCTCCACCTGCTCAGTTTGTTGCCAATGCTTGGTTTCTTCAGGAAGTGGCTTTGTTATCTTCCTAAAGTTTCAGCTACTTGTTGCATGTCTTTATTAAATCTCTGACTCAACACTGGCTTTCCTGAATGAGTAGCTCATTCAGCAAGAAGGAGAATGCCCACTTCTGTTTTTGATAGCTTTCAAATTCTTACTACCTGAACTCCTGCCTGAGTTTCAGAGGACATACCCTCGAAAACTTGACCTGTTGTCTCTCGGCCCCACCATCCTCTGCAAGTTGCCAGTCAGATTTAATGACGTGATTGCTGACGAGACCAGGTAGAGCTCCATTGCTAGCAGGAAGAAGACACCCAGGAAGAATGGCTTTTTATTCCTAAGACATACAAAAGCCGTTTAATAAGTAAGAACTGAGTGTGTGGGGGAAAAATCCCTCAGAGAAAATGATCACTACAATTTTCATTCTCCCCCATCTCCAATCCCCCAGTCCCAATTCTCCAGGCAGTAAAGGGAGGCAATGGGTTCTCTGTGGGGAAAGATAGAAAGCAGGAGTCAGGTTTGACAGAGGAGGGTAGTCTTGAGCATGGCACATTGAGGGCAGTAGTTTTCTGGCAGGAACCGAACAGAACTTCATGGAAGAAAAGGACCTGTAAAGAGGGCGTTTCTGTACACCGGGCTGTGTTCTTCTATCCAGCAATTGAAGGAATTGAATAGAACTTCATGGAAGAAAAGGACCTGTAAAGAGGGTGCTTCAGTTTGCCCAGCTGCATTCTTCTAGCCAGCAATTTAGGGAACTGAGTCATTCCATTTTGTAGCTTCCCTGTCCCCTCTGGTTTGAGTAGCTGCATACCATCTATGTATTAATGTTGTATTCCTTATCTTTTCCACTAGATATATTCAGTATTTCAGTATAATTTTAGGACAAGTAAATTGGCCCATGACTTTCTACTAAGAATAGCTGTCTTTCAAAAGAAAAATCTGCTTCCAAAACCACGTAAAATAATTTCTCAAACATAGCCAATCATTGGATAATTGGAAAATGGCCTGTAAATACTTGTACTGCTTAACAAATACAAAATTGATTGGCCTTCCCTTTCCAGTGGAAGAAGGGGAAAAAGAGAGTGGAGGAAACTTGTCAGCATCTTTAAGGCCCTAACCCAAAAGAAACAAACATCACTTCCATTCATGTTCTCTTGTGAGTACTTGTCACATGGCTTTACCTGGATTCAACATGGGCTGGGCCAAGGCCTCCACCTTCTGGAAGGGAAAGCACACATTTTTAGATTTTAGGTATTATCTTTGAGACACAAGAAAATACATATTACTACATGGACATTAGTGCCGTGTGGTCTGATGTGTGTTCCCTTATAAGCAACTGTTAAAATATGATGAAACCACAAGACCAAATGTTTATTCTTCAATGTTCAGAAAGTAAAATGTTTCTAGTTATGAACAAGCTTAGTTTGGGAATTATTAAGCAATATAACTAAGCAATGCATTTCATCATCAATTCATCATTTTTTGTTTATATCATGTTCATGTTTATGAATCCAAAATACACATACAATAGTACAATTAAATCACGCTTCAGTTTAAAACCCCAGAGCTATCTAATCTCAGAATACAATCTAAGCTGCTCATAAGACCTTCAACAGCCTGTATGACCTGGTTCTTACCCACATTTCCAGCTTTTCTCTCTCCACTCTTTGATTGATTCACGACTCTTTCCACATTCAAACTTTCTTTTCTTCCTGTTGTCAGTGAAAGAGAATTGCATTGCCAGGACCTTTGCAGCAACTTGTTCTTCAATTTCTCTTTCTCTTAATTTTAGCAAGGTTGTCATTTTGTCAGCATTGAGATTTTGGTGCAAATATCATCTCTCAGGAAGCCTTCTTGGCTATCCTACACTACTTCACTGCCTGTCACACGACTTCGTCTTCTATTTCCATTTATTGACTACTTCCTGCTAGGCAGATGTTGCTCTCTGTTCACTGTTTGTCTTGAGCACCTGGAATACAGGTGCCTGGCATATAGTAGGCACTCAAAAATTTGGCTAAATATCATGTCGATTTTCATAATATCCTAAATATGATATAGATGTTTTTCTTGGTTTAATAATTTAAAGAAAAGGTTTTCTTTGTTTTATTTTTATTATTTTTTGTTGTTGTTGTTTAGAGATGAGCACTTGCTGTGACACCCAGGCTGGTCTCAAATTCTTGGGTTCAAGCAATCCTTCTACCTCTGCCTCTCAAGCAGCTGGGATTACAGGCATGCACCACCACAGCCAGCTCAAAGAAGTTTTGTGTTAAAAAGCCTTACACAAATTATTGTAAAATATTTATTTCAGATAATATATACAAAATTATAAAGACAAGTTACACAAGTACCAGCATTTTAGGGTATGTGTGCATGAGGGTACAGCTTTCAAAAAACCTATTACGTTCAGTGTTTCTGTACATTATGTAATTTAATGAACAGGGCAATGTGCAACGATGAGGAATGCTCAATGATAATCATTTTCTAGATGAGTTAATTGTGACTCATTAAGTTTAGCATGTTTTCAGTTTATTCAGAGAATAAATTAAAAAAGACGAAACCCAAACCCGAGACTTCTGGCTCCAGAGCCTGTGCTTTGTCTATTGAGATGTTTCTTTAACCAATGTGCTTCATATTCAGAAATGCCTGGTAGCATCATTGTCATGAAACGCATTTATTAAAACTTGTGGTACAATAACTGCTTTAGGTCACTTAAAATGAATCAACTAACCTCACAAAACACCAAGCTAATGCAATTATTGGAGATTAGAATAATATGGTGAAACGTCAGTCTTAGTCTGGAAATCTAACACAATTCAGAATAATTTATTTGTTTTTAAAGAGTCTAACATTAAGAAGGAGTGCCACCTTGTGGCATTTTTTTTATGCCGGAGTGCAACCCAGCCTTCTTTTAAAGGTTTCATAAGTGTCCTAATGAATTTGCATTTTAATCACTGTATATCTTTGAAATTTGTAAATATACAACTTATAATAACATTCTATTAAAGATAGAGAAAACATCTAAAGTCTTGGAATGGTAATTATAACCATAATTACCATTCCATTAAGAATTTCCTTTTTTTTTAAGACGGAGTTTCACTCTTGTTGCCCAGGCTGGAGTGCAATGGTGCAATCTCTGCTCACCTCATCCTCCACCTCCCAGGTTCAAGAGATTCTTTTGCCTCAGCCTCCCGACTAGCTGGGATTACAGGCATGTACCACCATGCCTGGCTAATTTTGTATATTTAGTAGAGACGAGGTTTCTCCATGTTGGTCAGGCTGGTCTGAAACTCCCGACATCAGGTGATCCGGCCGCCTCGGCCTCCCAAAGTGCTGGGATTACAAGCATCAGCCACCTTGTCCCGCCAGAATTTCCTCATATTTTAGAGCAGAAAAAAAAATCTACCATCCTGTAGTTCAGTGTGTGTTCATTAATTTTTTGGTTTAATTTATGGGAAGGTAAAGCAGAGAAGCCCTGTGATTTCTCTTTTGTTTGAAAACATTGGAATCAAAATGAATAAATTTAGGGAGAGGATTGAGATGCAGAAGATAATTGCAATTAAGACAGAGGTTTATCTCTTTTGTTCATTTGTTCTCCATCCCAGGTCAGGGAACATGGCATGACCCTCATATTGAATAGAAATAAGAATCTAATTACAAAGTGACTTTCTCATTTATTGAAGAAAGCTCAAGGATTTTTGTAAAATTCAACCAAATTAGTTATGAGAGATGCCTAGTCCAATCTCCTCTTACAGAAATGTATACTTTGACATCTACCCAGTGATATTCTTTAAAAGGTATCTTTTCTTGTGGAAGAGTTGGAATGATCTAATTATGACACTTGTCAATTATGCTTAAGTAAGACACATCAAGATGTGTGAACATCATTTCCAGGAAGAAATAATGTTGAGGAGGAAATTGGTATAGTTGAAGAATCTCTTTTTTCAAGCTTCTTTGTCTGCAAATTATTCTGCTTTGTTTGGTGGGTATCTAAAGAAAAATCCGGCCTATTTAGTGCCTCAAATTAGTATGTGATTGGATGTCATCTTTTAACCTGCTTTAAGCTGAGAGTAAAGTGGGCAGATGACACCCTGCACCTAAAATTTCTGTTCTAAGAGAGGGTGATAAAAGGGATTAGAAAGCATTTTCACTTTGAAGCTGTCACCTTATTTCCCACACAAAATTCAACTCTTGGATAACTATTCCCTTGACTAAATGAGCCATACTAATTTGCCTAACATAATGTACATCACACAGTTTAGTTGTATATCTGCAATATATTAGTGTCTGTGCTCTGAGCTGTGCACCCAAGGATGGGGGTGAACCGAGAATGATTCCTAACTTCTTGGTGTTTACAGTTTAGCAGGAAGAAGAGGTGTAACAAAAAAATATCCAATCACATAAGAAGAGGTTTAATGAGGAAAAGAGCGAAGTGAAATAAAAAACACACCCACAAAACAAAACAAAACAATAAAAAAACGAAGACTTGGAAGCGTGTTGCTGTTGCTGAAGGAAGAACAGGAAACAGTGTAAGGCTGGAGAAAATACACGAGTCAGATCACACAGGCACAGCTTTTAATTCCGTGGTATACAGGCGTTGGGTACCAGCTGAAATGAAATTAACAATTCTTGTGCACCTCCCATGTGACAATTGTATTTAAGGCTCACAGTAATGCTGCATTTTTAAATTCCCAGTTTTGCAGATGAGAAATAGGATTCAAAACCTGGTAAAGAATGGAGTTCGACATGGCCATTTCGGGGTGACATTAACTTCAAATACTGTAATATGTATCTTTCAAACATTTTACACAGGCACACATCTCATATATTCCCTACGTAAAGACATTCAAGAATTAGAGGAGGTAAAATATTTTTCTGGGCTATGAATAACAAGTTCAATATGTAGAGTGTGTAATCAGTATTTAGCAGTGATTCTAAACCCAACTGAAAGTCTGTCCAAATGTATTTGCATCTCAGTCCTTCCATTTTTCCTGCCTCCTCCATCTTCATTCCCTTTCCTTGTAGTCCCTTCGGATTCTCCTTTATGTCTCCTTTTTTTCTTTCCTTTCCTCTTGTCTCAATTGGGGGAGATTTAATGTGGGTTGGATTGGTTGAATACTGATGTATTACCTCTTCTTAACTTAAACATATTATAGTTTGCATGCACGAGCACGTAAGAAAAATAACCAACAACAAAAGCAACTGTCCACCCAGAAAATAAATCGGTGGATTGAGAACTCAATATTTTGGAGTGAGAAGTCCTGTTCTCTTTCTACATTAAGCCTTTGCAATGCATGAACACTTCAGTTTTCTTATTTGTAACTGACGATAACTTAGACTGACCTCATAAAATCATTTTGAGGATCTCTTGGGATGCTAGGAGAATCTCTTGAACCCGGGAGGCAGAGGTTGCAGTGAGCTGAGATTGCACCACTGCGCTCAAGCCTGGCGACAGAGCGAGACTCGTCTCAAGAAAACAAAAAACAAACAAACAAAAAAATGCTGCTGTTTTCACTACAAGTGCCCAGGTCCTTCCTCTGACCCATTTCCTACGGTGCCTGCTTTTCTGCAAGACTTTTAACTAACACTTCAACTACTGAAGCACATATAAACTTATGTTGTCTGGAATCATATTTAAACCATGAAAAAATGGTCACTTCTGATTTTTTTTTTTCTCTATGGAAAGGAGACAGCCCTGATTACTAATTTTATACATCTTAGCATCTTGTTTGTTACTTTGCATTTCCTGGCATGTTGTTATGTCGCCATCTGCTGGACGATCAGCAGGGTGTCACTGAAAACCGAGAAGCATCGCAAAAATTCTTCTTAGGCAATTGAACATGATTTAAGTCTTCTTAGGTACAAATCACCATAAACTTTGTTTGAAATAATGACTCACTTCTTTCATATATTATGATATATCCATGAAACAAAATACTATGTAGTATTTAAAGCAATGAAATTGTCCTGAAATAAATGTAGTTCCAAGATTTATTAAAACATCTAAGAATCAGGGTGCAGAACGATGTGTATAATTGTGTTATTGTTTTCATTCCAATATCATATGTATGTAGATGCATATATTTACATAATTTTCATAGAAGACATTGTACATGGTGACATTTTAACTCTTAACAGTGTTTACTTTGGAACAAAGTTAGTGAAGGTGAGGGTCTTTTTTTAAATTTATTTCTATCCACATTGTTTGAGTTTCTAATCATGCACATATATTACTTGTATTTGTTTTACCTTATTTTTGAATGTCAGTTGAGATTATTTGTATACTGAGATTTTAGAGCCATTTGTTTTACCTTTACATTTGCCTATGTTTAAAAATTGTTAATAAATGTGCTTTTAAAGTATTATTAACTGCTTTATTCATGCCCCACAACATTTTGTCTATTTTGTATAGTAGTTGTGATAATTTGCTTCTAGTATAGTTACTATATCAATAAACCCCAAGTTTTCCAGAATAAAGCTGGTTTCAAATATTCTGGCCTTTGGTTCCTAATAATTACAGGTCTACATTTTATACTGTGAAGTCTCTTTCTTATAATTATAGTAAGTAGCTCATAGTAAAAGGCTTTACTACTAGCTGTGTGAGCTCTGGAAAATTACTTAACTTCTCTGTGTCTCAGTTTCTTATCTGTATAAGGAAGACAATGTTATCTATCTTTTTTTTTTTTTTGGTCTCCCAGGCTGGAGTGCAGTGGTGAGATCTCAGCTCACTGCATCCTCTACCTCCTAGGTTCAAGCAATCTTCCCACCTCAGCCTCTCTACTATCTGAGACTACAGGCATGCCACGACGACTGGCTAATTTTTTGGTATTTTTAGTAAAGACCAGGTTGGCCAAGCTGGTCTCCAACTCCTGGCCTCAAGTGATCCTCCCTCCTTAGGTGCCCAAAGTGTTGGGACTACGGGTGTGAGCCACTGAGCTTGGCCTATTATCTGTCTTTTAGGGTGGTTATATTTGCCTCGCTCACTTGTTTGAGAGCTCTTGAAGCCTGGAATATATAATAATCATCCTCATAACCTCAAGAGCCAGCAAAATGCTAATAACACTTTTTGAATTAATTTTTAATGACTTGGCAGAGAATTACAAGAACTAAGTACAAGTTCTAAGTATCAAGACACACTAGGATGTAAAAGTGATCCTTTTCAAAATGTGAATTTGGGACCCCAGATATGTTTCTATGTACGAAATATTTCAGCCAATGTTTTAAAATTTTTATTTGTGGTTTTATTTTTTCTAAATAATTGTTATAATCCTTCCAACGGTGTGTATATTACTTTCAGCACCTATGAACACAACAGAGAAGTATATCCAAAAGTAGAGGAAAATTAAACACCAGTTTTAGACGTAATGGTTTAACTAAATGATAACGTCCACAGTAGGGACTGATTTATTCACCTTTACAGCCTAACTTTTAGCAGAGTGATCAGAATTGAAGCATTTCATTTGTGCGTAATTATTAACAACAATGACTTGTGTTTTCAAAGTTTTCTGAAACTCCTCTTTTACTTTCTGCTGATACATTAAGAAATCAAATTAACTTAAAATGAAGGGACATAAAAGAGGTCATGAGAAAATAAAGCAGGAATTGGGTCTAGTTTAGTCTATGAATTAGGGAACAAATCCTAAAAGTACTAAGGAAGGAAAAGCTTCGTATTAAATGCTTATTTAAAATATATAGGTTGGCTATAAGTGGAAATGTATTAACAAATTAAGGTGAGACAACAGTGGCCCTGTGAAATAATGTTGAGTGCAATAAAGAAAAGACGTTGGTCACTATGAGGCTCTCTTTTTTTCTTACTACTTGTTTTAATTCTGGACAGAATCAATTTACTTCCTATTATGAAAGCTAAATTAGTACAGCTACGTGACCTCCTGACTTCCTCCCTCTCTCCACTTTCTAAAATTTGTTATTTGTATTGTTGTAAGTTTTACATGGTTAATGTTTATAAAGCTTATGTGCGGATTATAAAAAAAAGAACAAACAAAATACCCCTTTAAACAGCTGTAATGAGGTAGTTGTATACATCCAAATATATTGTATACTTTGAAGGTATACAATTTGATAAATTTTGACATGAATGTACACTTAATAAATCATCATAATCAAAATGCGGAACACATCTGTCACCCCTGAAGGTTTCCCTGTGCCGTTATTTTATCCTTCTCACACTTTCCCATTGCCCCACCCAATCAACCGGTATGCTTTTTGTAACTGTCGCTTAGCCTGCATTGTCTAGAATTTTATATTTACAGTCATGCGTCCTATAATGACGTTTTAGTCAATGATGAACTGCATATAGGATGGGGGTCCCCTAAGATTACAATGGAGCTGAAAAATTCCTATTGTCTAGTGACGTATGGCCATCCTAACTTTGTAGCAGAATGCATTGCTCATGTGTTTGTGGCGACACTGGTGTAGAAAAACCTGCTGTGCTGCTAGTTTTTTTTTTTTTTTTTTAGATGGAGTCTCCCTCTGTCGCCAAGGCTGGTGTGCACTGGCGCGATCTCGGCTCACTGCAAGCTCCGCCTCCCGGATTCACCCCATTCTCCTGCCTCAGCCTCCCGAATAGCTGCGACTACAGGCACCCGCCACAATGCCTGGCTAATTTTTTGTGTATTTTTAGTAGAGACTGGGTTTCACCGTGTTAGTCAGGATGGTCTCGATCTCATGACCTCGTAATCTGCCCGTCTCGGCCTCCCAAAGTGTTGGGATTACAGGCGTGAGCCACCGCGCCCGGCCGCTGCTAGTCTTATAAAAATCTAGCACATATAAGTATGCACAGTACGTAATATTTGATCATGATAATAAATGAGTATGTTACTGGTTTATGTATTTACTATACTTTTTATTGTTGTTTTACAATATCCTCCTAATTATTAAAAGAAGAAGTTAACTGCGAAACAGCTTCACACAGGTCCTTCAGGAGGCGTTTTGGAAGAAGGCATTTTTATCACAGGAGATGACAGTTTCATGCATGTTATTGCCTCCCAAGGCCTCCCACTGCGACAAAATGTGGAGGTGGAAGGCAGTGATGTTGATGATTTTAACCCTCTGTAGGCCTAGGCTAATGTGTGTGTGTTTGTCTTAGTTTTTAACATCAAAAGTTTAAAAAGTAAACAAAAAAAAAAAAAGAAAAAAGCTTACAGAGTAAGGGTATAGAGAAAGAAAATATTTTGTACGGTTGTACAACGTGGTTATGTTTTAGGCTAAGCCTTACTACAAAAGTGTCAAAGAGATTTTAACATTTAAAGATTTAACATTATAACTTTTAATGAAAAAGTTACAGTAAGCGAAAGTTAATTTATTATTGAAGAAAGAAACATTTTTTAACACATTTAGTGCACCCAAGTGTCCAGTGTTTATGGTTTATTGTAGTGTGCAGTAATGTCCTACTCCTTAACACTCACTCGATACTCACTGACTCACCCAGAATAACTGCTAGTCCTTTAAGCTCCATTTGTGGTAAGTGCCCTATACAGGTAAACCACTTTTGTACCTTTTATACCATATTTTTACTGTAACTTTTCTATGCCTAGATATGTTTAGATACACAAGTACTTACCATTGTAACACAATGGTATTCAGTACAGTGATGTGCTGCACAGGTCTGTAACCTAGAAACAACAGGCTGTACCATACAGCCTAGAGGTGTAGAAAGTTCAGTCATCTAGGTACATGAGTACACTCTATGGTGTTTGCACAGTGATGAAATCGCATAGGGACGCATTTTTCAGAATATGTCCCTGTTGTTAAGTGATGCATGTGTGTATATGGGACCATACAGTATGCATGCTTTATTGGCCTGCCTTCATTCAACACATTTATTTATTATGTATTTATTTATTTATTAATTTTTGTTTTTGAGATGGAGTTTCGCTCTTGCTGCCCAGGCTGGAGTGCAATGGCACGATCTCGGCTCACTGCAACCTCTGCCTCCCGGGTTCAAGCGATTCTCCTGCCTCAGCCTCCCGAGTAGCTAGGATTACAGGCGCCCACCACCACACCTGGCTAATTTTTTGTATTTTTAGTAGAGACAGGGTTTTACTATGTTGGACAGGCTGGTCTCAAACTCTTGACCTCAGGTGATCCACCTGCCTCGGCCTCCCAAAGTGCTGGGATTACAGGTGTCAGCCACTGCGCCCAGGCTCAACACACTTATTTTAAAATCCATGTGTGTTAGTGCAAGTATCGATAGATGATTCCTTTTTATTGCTAACAGTGCATTATGTGAATATATTACATTTTGTTCATCCATTCACTTGTACGTGTTTCCAGTTTTTAACTATGGTATATCAGAACACCCATCTGTGATAGTATTTTGGTATGTCTTTTGCATGCAGGTAACATTTTTTTTGCTCTGAAAGAAACATATTTACAAAATTATTTTAGATTATTCACTTTTAAATGATACCTTATTTTTGGCTCTAAACAAAAGAGTCAGCCTTCCTAATTCATATCGCTACTACCACTGATTAATCATTTAAAAAATTCTACTGATTTGCTTAAAAATCTTTGATGACTCACTACAACCTGGGTGGGATACAATAACCTTTTAAAATGATATGATGTGTTTTCTTCTCTTTGCTCTGTATAATTTTCCTATCACCAATTCCCTCATCCCAAGAAGGTAACTAAAGCTTCTTTCGCCCCCTGCCTTAAAGGATTTTATGTTACAGAGCCCAAATGTGAATTTTCCAGGCAAGCTATACTAATATCTAAGTTTTCAAAGCTTATGCATACTGAGAGGTTTTAGGGAGAATTGTTTCAGAAGGAATGGTTTAGAGGCAGGAGTTATTTGGTTGGGGACCTGAAGTAGCTGGGTCTAGAAATATTTAGAGGTCTTACCTCATGCCTAAAAGTCGGACAAGACACCTATGGATTTTGAAACTATCTAAGTTCAGCTGTCTGCTCCCATGCAGAGCTGTCCCTGATCACACACGGGATGGTGTGTTGAAGAATGTCAGAGAGGGTTGAACGGTAAGACCTGTGGGAGCCATGGCAAAGATTTCAAGGCCAAGTTTGATAGTGAAGCATGGACAGAGGTGTATCATTGGCAGCTACTAAGCAAAGCATGCATGAAGTCCTTTCCTCTAATGTTTGTCACTATTTAAAACAGCAAACGTTTTGCATTATCCTAAAGGTGGAAGTAGGGCATCCCCCAAACATGACTGAAGTAGAATTGTCCACCAGTTAGACGTCTGAGGCATTGAAACATTTACATCCATTTGAAAAACAAAGGAAAAATGGTATTTCTTTCATACTAACGTTATGGATTAAAAGTCACACCATCTATGCTGGGTGCGATGGCTCACACCTGTAATCCCAGCACTTTGGGAAGCCAAGGAGGGAAAAACGCTTGAGCCCAGAGGTTCGAGACCAGCCTAGACAACACAGTGGAGCTCCCAACTCTACAAATAATGAACAAATAAATGGCAAGCCAGGCATGGTGGTGCATGTCTGTGGTCCCAGCTGAATGGGAGGCTGAGGTGGGAGAATCACTTGACTACTGGGAGGCCGAGGCTGCAGTGAGCCATGATCATGTCACTGCACTCCAGCCTAGGTGACAAAGAGAGACCCTGTCTCAAGAAAAAAAAAAAGCCACACTATCTAGATTCATTAGGTATAATTAATAACATGTCTGGCTACAAATAGCAGGAATCTCAACCAACAGCAGTTTAAACAACAAGCATGTATTTTTCTCACATGACAGACATCAAGGTTAGAGATTAGCCGCTGGCACTGGTTCAGCTGATCTGCAATGTCTCCCTCCAACTTAGCATGCTGGCTCTATTCTCCTGTTGAGTTTTTAAGTCTTATGGCCACAAGATGGGCCGTGACAGATAAAGACATTGTATAAAGCTCAGGACAAGAAAAAGGAGCAAAAGGGGGCTGTAACACTTCCATTTGCTCACTTCATAGGAAAGCAAAAGCGTTTCTTGAAACTTCCCAGAGATTCTCACTTGTGTCTCATTTTCAAGAAGTGTTTCACCTGACCACATCTAACTGTGATGCTGGAATAGTCAGTATTTATCTCCTATATAGGCTTTAGTGGAAATAAGACAAGTGAGAAGGGGGTTGAGATTAGGAGTGGTTCAGCTGATCCACAGTATCTTCCATACCCTGAAATTCCAAAGTCGTCCGGCGAGTCTAGAAGTCTCTCCACAGTCTAGCCCTGACTTACCTTTCTAGTTCTGACTTCTGTACTTCTATTTAATATAATAGGGATTCTTTTCTCCAACTGGGGTCCTTCCGATTCTGCATAAGCATCCTTGCCTCTGCTGCACACGTCTTATCCTTTCTTTGATATATTTTCCCACGCATCCTCACTTCTCATCATTTATTCTTCATTACCTGCTTGAAATGATTTGGCTCCGTGTCCCCACCTAAATCTCATATTGAATTGTAATCTGATTTGTAATCCCCAGGTGTCGATGGAGGGACTTGGTGGGAGGTGATGATTGGATCATGGGGGCAGTCTTCCCATGCTGTTCTCGTGATAGTGAGTAAATCTGACGAGATTTGATGGTTTTATAAAGAGTAGTTTCCAATGTGCTTGCTCTTCTCTCGCTCGCCTGCTGCTTTGTGGAGAGTGTTCCTGTTTCTCCTTCGCCTTCCACCACGATTTTAAGTTTCCTGAGGCCTACCCAGCCATGTGGAACTGTGAGTCAGTTGAGCCTTTTTCGTTTATAAATTACCCAGTCTCAGGCATTTCTTTATAGCAGTGTGAAAATGGACTAATAACCTGCTGAAATCTTTCTCACTATTCTACCTTACAGTGATTTGTATGTTTTTAAAAATGAACAAGTGGCGTATCTCACAAAATAATTGATATTTTTGTAGCTTTTAAATTTTAGACTGTAGCTAATACCTACATGTTTTATTAAAAGAAATAAATTTAGAGTTGCTCTGAAATATTTAATCATTTTAAACAGTAAAATCACAGGGCTCTTAAAAGTTTCTGCTTCATATAGGAAGAAGTCATGATTACTTTGACCTTCCCAAGGGACCTACTAGGAAAGTGAATGAAGATTCTAGTATCAAATTTTTATCTTATAAATTGGTGAACTTGATCACAGGCCTAATTAATTTGAAGATTTCTAGACCCAATTCTTAAACTTAATCCAAATAAACCTACGATTTGCATTTTTTATGAGAGTCCCCAGGTTATGTTGATCTAGATGATTTCCTGATCACATTTTAGAAGCCACCATTACGGAGAGAGGGGGATAATTAGAAAAGCCACAGCTACAGCCATTTGGGTGAAAATAAGAGTTGCAGCACCTGTGTGATAGAGGCTAACAAGCAGGAACTGTGTCTACCCGCGATACTTCATCAGGATAGACCAGACCTGATGGGACAAGACCAGTGTTTCAAACTATACACTAAAAGATTTTCTGGCCATTTTGTATAATATATAGCTTTTATTATAGAGATGGATGTTATGCCATTTCTTTCTTTTAATCTTTAGCAAATACATTTACAGAGCTTTAAAAAGTAAATATGGACTTCCATTTCTGCTGGTAGGACAGACTGGATGCCCAGAGACATTTTAGTGTCCCTAAAAATGTTGAATACAAATATTAGAACGATAAATAAGTGCCTAGATGAGAAGAGCAGGAATGTAATGGAATTCCTTATAGGTCAGAAATAAGACATTACAAACTTTAAGATGTTACCAACCATGGAATATAGCTTTAGCCCTGAGAAAATCTGTTAAAACTTCCTTGGTCTGAACAGAGCAAAGGAGACTAAGCATGAGGTACAGTGGAGTGGGAGGAGACATCAGGGACCTGAAAATAAAGCGTGAGTCCCCAAAAGGGAACACGACCATGTGGGTAACTTACAGAAAACCTGCTTTGCAGAGGAAGATCGTGGAGTAGTTGTATGTCTCAGCCTAGTCTCTGAAGGAAGCAGTAAAAAATAAATATATTCATTGAGAATTTCCAACCATATGCATTTTGGGGATCAAATTTCACAACTCTTATATGGGCTAAACACACTCAAGCTAGATTAGTAGGTCTCCCTCCCAAAAAGATTGTCACCTAGGTGAAACAACTGCAAGCGTTATCTAAAAGAAAGCAATTTAAACACAGGCTTCAACAATTCCTACAGTCAGTATTTCAAAAACCACAAGCCCGCAATAAAAATCACAACCACAAGAGAGTCAAAAAAAGCAGAATCACATTCTACAAAGACTTTATATATTGGAACGATCAAAAACAGTATGTAAAGCAATCGTATTTTACATAGTTAAAACATAAAAAAGATAAAGGATTTTAAAAATTGTATAGAACTACAAAAGTAAAACAATAAAAACTGAAATCAGAATCTCAGTGGACATATTTAAAGAATAGTAGCTACAACTCAAGAGAGAACTGATGACCTGGGTGATAAACTAAAAAAATAACATGGAACCCAGCATAAAGACACAAAGATGTAAAATGAGAAGGTACTGAGAGATACTTTCTCTTCTCTTTGTATGCATTTTTGTTCTACTCCACCCATGTGTCTGTCCCAGGCTTCTGACTTATATGAACTTTATCCCATGCCCTACACTTCTGGTTGGGAGCAATTAATAAGAGCTCTGATAGAGGATTGGAGGGAGGAAAAAGAATAAAGTAAGGATAGTTAATCTTCGTACCTCTCTGCAAATTGCCTTAGTCTAGCTTTGTCTTTCCATAGAAGGTCACTGCTTACCTCAATGTGGTCTGCAATACATAACTCTCCTTTTGAGTTCTGGGAACCACTCCATCCCCTCATTCTTTAGGGCCTGGGAATGGTAACAGATTCACCGTTGCTAGACTTGGTTGCTGTATGCGTCATGGTTCCCTTTCATTTGTCCAGCTTTTAATATTTATGCAACCTCTCTTTGAATTTGTCTAATCTGAATATGACAATTATTTGTTTTCTATTAGTATAAAGAGAAATGAAAGGTAGAGTGAGACAGTCTAATATGGGTATCATTGGAATTCTGTGAGAAAATGAGGGGAAAACACAATGAAAAATATACGTAAAAATACAAACACATAAAAACTCATAAATGCCCAGAACTCATAAGAGAGAATAATTCTCAGACATGTGAAGCAAAATGAATACTACACAGTATAAATAAAGATAAATTCAATTTGCATATAACAGGCACTGAACAAAAGAATGAAAAAGGAAAGATCTTAAAAGCTGCCTGAGTGAAAAACAGATTATACATAAATAAAGAGCAGTTAGATATGTTTCTTCTTAATGACAACAAAGGAAGCTAGAAGATTGTAGAATAAAAGAGTGAGAGAAAGTAAGTATCAACTTAAGAGTTGGAGACTTGGGAAAAATATTTCAAGAATTGGAGTGAAATAAAGCCAGATTCCGACAAATAAAAACTGAGAAAATTCATTACTAAACAGACTATACTAAAGGCATTTTTAATGAATGTGGTCAAGGAAAAACAATCCTTGAAAAAAGTTCTGAGAAGCAAGACAAATAGTCCAGAAAATAATAGAACTGTGGCTAAGCCTAGACTAGTATCAGACATAAATTGACAATGATACATCTAATTTGTAGAGTTAAATGGGTAGATTTTTTTTTAAGAGAAAAAAATGTTTATGTGGGAATAGAACATAGCAATGAGAACATAATAAATTAGGTCCACTTTCAGGAAGACAATGGGTTTTGTTTGTTTGTTTTTTAAGAGACAGGTCTTGTTACGTTGTCCAGGCTGCAAGTAGATTTTTAAGTCTTGAACAGCAATGACATATAATTTGGGAGGTATCTATTGCAGTGTACTAAATAAAGCTTCATATATTGTAAGAACTACAGTTGGTGTTTAACAGTTCATGCACATAGGCTAGGCTTGTATTTCCGTAGTAGAAATTTAAGGCAATCATGAGTGGGGTGGTAATTCAGGGGAAAAACAATCACATGAAATTTGTTGAATCCAGGCAAGTACCTTATAATTTGCAGAGTTGTATTATCCTAGCATCCCTAAAGGAAAGTGAAACCCTATAAAGCCCACATGGGCTGAGAGACTGAGGAGTTGCGTTTCCCAGATTATCTGGGAGCTGTCCCAAGAGATGCTTCTTTTCCAAGTTATACATCCTTTCTTTCCATTCCTACGTTGAACAGCAACATGGTGATAACTCAGAATGGAATTATGAACCACAGCAAGGGTTCCCTTACTCCACTTCAGGGCTTTCTTCAATTGAAATCGATTTCTCTCTCTGTTTTATGCCGTTCTGCAGCACAGCAGGCTACATTTTATGGGCAAAAAAGAAAGGTCATGGAATTTACTCATTGATTTGCTATTAGGGCCTATACTGCAAAGTACAATGGATTCTGCTTCTTTGCAATGCTGGCCCATTCCAGCTAGTGAATTTGGTTTCATCGCTTCGTATGGACAGGGTTTGATTTCTTACAATGACCCTCTTGGCACATGCTCAATGACTGGCTGGCTCTTCACTTACCTTGTTATTTTGCAGTGCTCTGTGAAGCCCAGAATTCAAAGCCCAGACTCTTACTTTCTTTTCAACAGAAATAACTGAGTTTGGCCCCTGTGTTTCAAGGGCAATATAAGTAGTTTAATAACTTAGAAAGGTTTTCATCATTTCTTTCACTCAACACTTTATCTTTATCCATGGGATATAAAAAAATAGACTGTTTTCACATTGATTTTCTTTTCTCAGAGCAGTATTCAGTCTTTGGTCTTACTTCAGAGACAAGTCTAGCTCCCGGTGCATCCAATTGCTTTCCTGGAATCCTAGCGGCATTCAGTTCAGGAGCAGCATCAGAGGTGTGTGGCTCTTTTGAGGACTTGGATTCATCTGCTAAGTACAAACTTTCAGGCTGCCTGTATGATGCTTATTAGCACTATGCTCTGACATAAATGGAATTTGGCCTCTAAAAACAATCAATTTGTATTTCTCAAGGGAAGTTTGTTCCACCTAAAAAAAAATACTCATTTGTATTTCTCGAGGGAACTTTACTCCACCTAAGACCTGACTTTTTTTTTTTCAGAAGAGAATTTCCATCATATAATACAAGGTACACACAACGATTTTCCAAGTATAAATTACTAAAACAATGTAGCATTGAAATTGAACTCTCTTAAGTCAACCTCAGTTCATATTAATTCAACCCTTAATTCATATTAAACACATTTCTATAAAGAAGATATGATATAGACCAGGGCATAGATGACTTCCATGCAGCATGGAATTGTTCTCAACTGTTTTGTTGATAAGTAACACTTATACTTAGTTTTTAACCAATGAAATTCAGTTGATAGAGCTCAGTTTTGTGGAGTGACATGGGTTTCTGTATTCCACATAAAGTACTAAAAGAGTTCTATATTTTGTAAACCTGAAATATCTGCCTGCTCAGGTAACAAGAAATCCTCTTCATTTGGTAAAGAGGAAAAAAACATATTTCTTTAAAACGCAAAGTTGTTAAAATGTAAACAAGCTTCCGAGTTTGGAAGTACTTCCCCCCAGGATTTTATTTTATTTTTATTGTGAAAAATAGAAAAATGAGCAGGAATCTAAATGTACAGCTTAATAAATTCTCATAAACTGAACACCTGTGTAGCAAATGTCCCAGTCAAAATAGAATGCTGACTTCATTTAGAAGCACTTCTTGTGACTTCTCCCAAATACTAAGCCCCTCTTTAGTGGTGAATGTAGATACTATCTTGAATTCTAACATAATATTTTATTTTTCCTTGCCTTGGAAATATATTTAATTGGAATCATTATGTGGGTGTGTGTGTATGGATAGATAGATACGCACATTTCTGTTGCTAATTTAGGAGTAGAATTATGGGATCTTTGTCCATGCGCCTGTTCAAATTAGTAGTGAATAAAATTTTTTGTTTTCCAAATAGTTTTGCCTATTTACTGTCCTACGAGGAGTATAACAGTTCCTGTTGCTCCATGTCCTTGACAGCACTTGGTGTACCATTCTTTCCACTTTGGCCCTGCTGGCATATTATGTAGTAACATCTCGTTATAAATTTAACTTGAATTATCCTGATGACTAATGAAGTTTGAATAGAATTTCACTTGTTGATTTCTTCGTAACTCTTGCCCATTTTTCTACTGTGTTGACTCTACATATTCTTATTGATTCATATATTATTTTTTAAGCATTCTGGTTGTGAGGCTTTTCTTGGTTATGTGTTGCATAGGGTATTTTGTGTAGCATATTTTGATAAACAGACATTAATATTTTTAATGTAGTTCTTGTTATTTATCTTTTCCTTTAAGGTTAATGCTTTTTGTATTTGTTTTAAAAAATCTCTCCTTATGGCAAGACAAGGAACTTATTTTCCTGTATTATCATCTGGAAGTTGTATTGTTTTTCTTAGAGCTACAGGTCATCTGGAATGAGCTGCATAATTTAATGGGAAGTTTCATCTTTTTCCAAATGGATATACAGATTACAGAAGTCTCAGTTTCCTCTTAAGCTTCTCATTCATTGATACTACACATCCATCTCTATATTATTTCCCTTGCATTAGAATACAGCAGTCATATTTTATGAGTTTGTATGTAGTTCTCATTTTTTAACTGGTCAGACTTAGCAAAACTTTGCTTTACAGAGTCAAAGGAGATGAGAAAAATGACAGAAGAGTAGCTAAAATTATCTCTCCTCAACACAACTTTCTTCAGAAAAGGCCATAAAGGTGTGTTCTGACTAACAATACCAGTTCTGCACTATATAAGTTATATTGGACTCAGTAAATCCACTTTTGGATGTTGATGACTGTTTAGTTTTTTCCCTCAAAAAACACTTTCTACATCTCCATAAATAATATATATTTTTACATTACTGAATCATACGTTATTTCAATCAAGAACAATTTGACTTATAAGACAACAAATTACTGACATTACCTTTTTAATTAAAATTATTTTACCCGTGAGAATGTTTAGAACCTATAAATATTCTTATAGTCAAATGTGAAAGCTACATATAGAGAACCATACCTTTTTTTAAAAAATAAAAAGTGTTTGTTTTACATGGATAATACAGAATATTTTAATAGGTGGTTCTAGTCATTATTTGATACAAATATTCCAAAAAAATTGCTATAGCTAAACTCATTTCAGTCATTGTTTATTTGGTAAAAGACATGGTACCATGGTTTGAATATAGTTTACTCCCCGAAAACTCATGCTGAAGTGTGGTTGCCAGTGCAGTGGTATTGGAGATGGGGCCTAGTGGGAGGTGTTTGGGTTATGGGGTGGCTCCCTCATGAATAGCTTGTTGCCTTTCTCACAGTAGTGAGTGAGTTCATGCTTGCAACAGAATGGGTTATTTCTCTTGGAAATAGATTATTCCCAAGACAGTGGGTTGTTATAAACAGGTCCTATCGGGGGAACCCACCCCCAATATTTCAATGTAGGTTCTATTTTCCATAAGTGTCAGCTGGCTGAGAAATAGAGACAGTATAAAGAGAGGAATTTTACAGCCGGGCCACCGGGGGTGACATCACATATCAGGAGGACCATGATGCCCATCTGAGCCTCAAACCAGCAAGTTTTTTATTAAGGGTTTCAAAAGGGGAGGGGGTGTAAAAGAGGGAGTAGGTACAAAGATCACATGCTGCAAAAGTCAAAAAGAAGAACTACTAATAAGGGTCCAACAAAGATCACAAGGCAAAGGGCAAAAGCAGAACTAATGACAAGGGTCTATGTTCAGTGGTGCACGTATTGTCTTGATAAACATCAGAAAATGGGGGTCGAGAGCAGAGAACCCATCTGACCACAAATTTACCAGGGCGGAGTTTTTCCCCACCCTAATAAGCCTGAGGGTACTGCAGGAGACCAGGGCATATCTCAGTCCTTATGTAAACGACAAAGGCAGACATTCCCAGGGTGGCCATTTATAGACCCCACAGGAATGCATTCCTTTCCCAGGGTATTAATATTCCTTGCTAGGAAAAGAATTTAGCGATATCTCTCCTACTTACACGTCTGTTTGTAGGCTCTCTGCATGAAGAAAAATACGGCTCTTTTTGTCTGACCCTGCAGGCAGTCAGACCTTATGGTTGTCTTCCCTTGTTCCCTAAAAATCCCTGTTATTCTGTGCTTTTTCAAGGTGCACTAATTTCATATTGTTCAAACACACACGTTTTACAATCAATTTTTACAGTTAACACAATTATCACAGTGGTCCTGAGCTTACATCCTCAGCTTATGAAGATAACAGGAGTAAGAGATTAAAGACAGGCATAAGAAATTATAAAAGTATTATTTGGGAACTGATATGAAATCTTCACAAATTTATGTTCCTCTGCCACGGCTCCAGCCAGTCCCTCCGTTCGGGGTCCCTGACTTCCTGCAACAAGGCCCCTGATTGTTTTGCCTCTTCCCAAGTGTTTGCTTCCCCTTTGGCCATCTCCATTGTGTTTTTACACAGTATGTGGCTCTCATCAGAAGCTGAACAGATGCTGGCACCATGCTCTTTGAACTTCCCAGCTTGCAGAACCATGAGCTAAATAAACTTCTTTTCTTTATAAATTCCCATCCTCAGGTATTCTGTTATAGCAACACAAAATGCAGTAAGTTGCATGGTGAGAGCAAATTTATAGTGCTATCAAAAAATATACTGAGTTGCAATCATATTAAAACCTTTCATCACTTGGTAAAAATCAAAAGTCTTATATTCCCCCTTTGTAATACAACCAAATTTATGTTAATGTATTTTACATGTGTCGTGATATATGACATATGAGGGTATAATTGTGATAAAATGTGGCTAATACTAATATGAAATAACGAATTAAATAATTAGCTTAAATTTAAGGATTGAAAGACTAAGTAAAATTAGGTCGGGCACAGTCATTTTTAAAAAAAAGTGTTAATGGCATCTTTATGGGTTCATTATTTTTTAAAAATATAAACTGAGTAAAATCAAATAATCTGAAAATAGAATATTTTAAAAACATATCGTATTATTTAATATGACGATATTGAAATCTGTCTTTCCAGTCCTATATTCTTCTGTGTCCTGTTGTATGCCTAGTAAACATTTGACTTGATTCTTACATTGAATGTGTAATGTGTTTGAAAGTAGGCATAGAACATTTCCCTCAAAATGGGTGTTTTTTTCCACATTTTTGTTCCTATTTAGTTTGCAAGTTTAGATCTATTTTTGACTTCTCATCTCATTTATCCACCCATTTCCAAAAGGTCACTGAGTTTTATTGATTTGAATACATCATCTTATCTGTCCTAATTATTGTCAACTCATCTGGATCCAGTGCTGATAGCCACATAATTTCTCAGCATTTACTTATCTTTTTCAGTCCATATTATATACCATTGGGAGATGTGTTAAAAATATCTTATAAGGTCATAGTGAGGATAAAATCTTCAAATAACTATATTCTGAACATAAATCCTGAGGTCTTTAAAGTTTACCTCTTCTCCTGTGCATAAAATCCTATGGGGACGTCCTCGTCCTCAGCAATTCTTGACGCGTATGCCTCTTCTTCCACCGCTTTCTCAAGGTAACCCTTTGTCTTACATTCAAGGCCCCATGCTGTAGTCTTCCACTCTCGTCTTTGCCTAGCTCTAAGGCCGGATTTATGGTGGTCAAACTGAAGATGATGAGGGGAGAGACGGAGGGAGAGAGAGAAGGAGAAGAAATTGCAGTCCAAAGCTATCCTCTTCACAATATTGGCCCTGCTTTTTGTACCACATGTATTTAGTCTTGTCACTCACTAAATCTAGGAAGCCTAAATTCATACTCAGAAGAAATATGAAATACCTCTTTCTCTAGCAGGTTGAGCTATGAGTAGCATTCACAACTGTAGTATACATGTTCTATAGGGACCAAGAACTTTCTTAAGGGCTCCAGGCATAGCGTGATCATCCCCATCTGTAATCGAGGAAAGGCTTGTTGTCCTGTCTTCTGGGAAGCGACCCTCTTACTTGGGGCCATACCCTTCCTAGGATTGGCAAGAACTTGATCTCCTGTGTTCCCCACATGGTTGCCTGAGGCTGTTGCCTAATTGACATCACAGCTCTGTGTTTCCCTCTGCCCCATCTGGTGTCTTCCTGTTTCCCCACACTGATTTTGATTACATTTGCTAATAAACTTCTAATACCACAAACTTCATCTCCAAGTTGTTTTTGAGAGAACTCAACCTTGTAATGATAGTCTTATTGGAACTTGATATGCGTATTTTTCTTAAATTGATCTGCCTGAAAGTGCACCTGTGGTTGGGCGGCTATGCTTTTCTTCATTCTCACACGTCTCTCACCCATTTTGATTCTCACTATGGATCATTATTCTAGAGGGTAAGAAACTGTAGGACTTCTTGGCCAGATAACTCTGCCTGATTTCTCAGGTATTATTTATCTGGGAAACATACATAGCACAGGAGCTTAAGAGTGGTATTATCTTCTCGCCTTAATTTCCAGAGATTTTTTCTGTACTGGGAATCCTGGAACATACTATGCTAGGATATTTAAAGCCACATGGTCTGTCTTGTTTTCACTGAATTATTGTGAACACCTAGAATCTTTCTAGGTCCTGGTTTTTCTTGCTTAATCCAGTCTTTATCTCTAACTGCCCCTTATTTTATCAACATGTACTAAGGGCTCTGACAGCCAGCTCAGCTCCTGATCCTTGAGGCGACATCCTTTTTCTCTTTGAACTTCAGTTCTGTCCTTCAATCATGACTAGATGTTTCTTGCCCTCTGCTCTCAGAATTCTCTTGGCTTTTATTCCTTGATCCACTTGCGGTTTTATCACTTTACCCTTGTTACTCATGGCTTCCCGTCAAGCCATGGGTATTAGGTGACAGTGTAATTTATTAGATTCTAGTTTTGCCCAAATACTGGGACTGCTTTAAGAACAATCGAACCATTTCATTATTGGGATAGCCATGGGTACCTTATCAAGCAGATTAAAAGGATATGTTGCCTTTCCTTTAGAAGAGAAAAGCTAAAACCTGGTTGTGGATTATGGATTTAGCATAAAGAAAAACAATCGGGCATACATTAAGAGTAAAAGAGAAGATTAATGGAAATTTCACTTCACATAAGTTAAAACATGGCTGTTTCAATAAACGAAACTGAAGTTTCTCCTGGATCTCAGAATTCAACTTGTATTAATAAATGTATAATGTATTTAGCTACTATTTGGTTTAAATGAACTTGTTGGGCTAGCTTGGTAAACGTTACAATTTTTACTATTTTCTACGGAGAAAATATTTTCTAATTTGAGTTGGAGTTATCTGTGCAGCAGTTTCTCTACAGTTGTACATAGATGTTTTTACTATAAAATGAGCTAATGTGTAAAATACTACTCTATAGTGTAATAAACATAGTACTTTGAGGGGAAAAAAGAGAAACTGTAGGGCTTGAAAAAAGGGCCAATTTGAAATACAGGAGTCATCACTATAATCCTACATAACAGGGCTTTACAAAAGTCCTTTTACATAGGATTATGGTGATGACACATGTAGAGTTTTTGTAATGTCAAATGGTAAATGGTTAGAAGTAAATTAAAAAATTTAAAGTAAAAAGCAAAATTTTGTCTATCATCTGTCCCTCATCTATCAGTTCACGAAATGAGATATTTTGGCTGGGGTATGTGGTAGAGTGGAGTGGACGTCGTAGTAGCAATATTTGGTAACAATATTAATTTAATGAACCATTCTCTTCTATTGTCCACTACTGTAAAGAATGCAGGCTTCCTGAGGAAAAGTTTCATGAGAGTAAAATGGAGAATACCACCAAGAAGTAGTAAAGAGAAGAGAAGCTCCTTGTTTCTACCAGAAAGCAAGCTCATTGGAAGCTGCCATGCATTATCCACATATCTATCCTGGAACACTTAAAATTTAGTAAAGTCATGATGCGAAACACTAATCTTCTACAAAATGTACTGTGCATTTTTATTCTCATAAGGGAGCATTCAGTGAGTCTTAATCTGTATCTTAGTTGTAGACAGCATCATATCAAGAAATAGGGGGGAAATTCCCATGTTATTAACAGATTAGTGTTATTTCTTGAAATAGAAGAAACAAGTAATAGAGGTAAATCAATTTTATTCTTAAAATATATTCAATTTTTGGAAATATTTCTTTATTAATCTTTCTAATAAGTTACTGAAGACATTAAACCCACTTATTTTTTTAGGTGTATGTTTCCTGCTTGCTGTCAAACAAAAACTATTTATGTAGTCATGAACTCCTTCCATGTACTTAATAGATTTGTGTTAACCTTCAGATAATACACATTCTAATATATATACATATATATATAATCTTATTTTTTATTTTTGAGACAGAGTCTCACTCTGTTGCCTGGCTGGGGTGTAGTGGTGTGATCTCAGCTCACTGCAACCTCTGCTTCTCGGGTTCAAGTGATTCTTGTGCCTCAGCCTCCTGAGTAGCTGGGATTTACAGGCACCTGCCACCACACCCGGCTGATTTTTGTATTATTAGTAGAGATGGGGTTTCACCATGTTGACTAGGCTGGTCTTGAACTCCTGACCTCAGGTGATCCACCCACCTCAGCCTTCCACAGTGCTGGGATTATAGGCATAAGCCATCGTGTCCGGCAATATTTAACTAACATATTTAGCACATTGTTAGCCCCTCACCAACTCATGGCCTAAGGCTTTCACTTGTTTTGCTGTTTATTTCAACAAAATAAACTTTATTCATAAAATCAGAACTGCCACTTGTGAACAGATATAGGACAAAATGTCATCCCATACAATTTCAAGCATAATATGCCTGAACTTTAGAAAACTTTTTCACTTAATGGGATTTAATTTTTCTCTTTGAGCTGTTGATGTGGTGTTCTCATTCTGTCAAATGCATAGTTAAAATGAATTTAGTGTCCTATGTATACAGTTTAAAGAAATGCATCAGTTTTAGTTTTAAATGCCAATATTTACCCTATCCATGAAGTTCAGACTTTTGAAGTGATTTAAATTAATAATGAAGAATTGTAAATATTAAGTTGTATGATGGGGTGCAAAGTGCTCCAGAACTCTTTTAGGAGAAAAATAGAGTACATTTGGAAGACCAATGAGCTAAGGAATGCTTGTGCTTGTCTTCTCAAATCTACATGAATATTATCCTTATCTTTTGTGAATTCAGAAACATAGCATTATATGCATTTCATTTCTGCCTTCATAACAAGTAGAAGAATAAAATCTAAGACTTAGTCACTTTCTTTTTTAAGGAGAGCGCGTACTTAAGAGACCTTAAAATCTTGACAGTGAACACTTGTCATTAATTTTATTGTTGCACTTAAAAATTAAGTAACTCACAGTTAAAAAAAATGAAAATCAAAAACCTACCATTATGATCTGCAAAACAATCTTGGAAAACCAGTAAAGGGTCATGAGATTTCATCAGCATTAGGGGTAGGGGAGAGCCAGCAGAAGAAACTTTAAGAACAATCTAAGTCCATAGAAAAGTAAAATAAACTTCATAGAGGCAACAGCTAGAAATAGCTGCTGTGTTAAGAAATGAAGGTAGGAGAAGTCTTCTTGATAACAGATATATAGTTTTTGTAGTATCAAGTAATTTTATGGATAGATGATTAGAAGTAAATAATTTTTAAAGTAAATGATTAGAAGTAAATTAGTGATGGGCAAAAAATGGCTGAACTGCTAGCCAGATAAGTTGAGTTGTAATGTAGACTCTAATTCCTTGGAAAAGTTGGCAAAGTCACTGACCGTCTCTGAGATCTAGTATTCCTGTCTCTCAAAGTGCATTTGATTTCAAGGAAGAACAATATGCTCAGGCTTGACTCAGAGTGTAGAAGAAATGCTAGAGGCTCAAGCACAATTTCAGTGACTTGTGACATGGCAATTTAGACTTCTTCACAACTCATCTTCTCCTTGTTGGCTTCTTTCTCTATTACAACTTCTTCATTTACTACCACATTTGATGATCTCTGTCAACAGGTCTCAGATTCAAAATTCCAAAATTGAATATTGAATTAGTTTGTTAGACACAAAAGAAAACATCAGACGATGATGCCTGCAGCATCAGATAACTCAAGAAATGGGAATTATACAAAAGGATTATTAGTGGCTGATTTAGGTGGTGGGTATCAAAAGATCAAGTTTCAGAGACTTACTTTTTACAAGTCAGTGGACTAAATCTCTTAGCTCTTCTATAGTTCTAAAATTTATATATATTAATGTTTTAGAAAAGTTTTATTGCATTGCTAGATCATACCTGCAATAGTTCTGGTTTTGCCATGATTTAAGGTAAGGCAATTATACTCATATGAAAATCTTACATTTCCAAATATTGCCTACTTATTATGTTATGTGTCCATATATGTAGGTACTATTGTTCAAGATAGGTTGTTAGTTCGACAGCAGAGCCATGGGAGTTATACAAACTATTTCTATACTAAATGTCTTCAAAAAGTCAATGAATGTAAATTTGTTCATCCTTTTAAATACATTCATGATTTTTTTTTTGCTATTTCAAATCTGCTTTGAGTCCTTTGTTGAATTATTTCACTTATTTTGCTTTTTAATTCTATAATTTCCATTTGTTTTTTGGTTATAATCTGAATTTCCATATTAATATTCTCTAGTTATTGAGTCATTGTCATGACACTTTAATTCTTTAGATATAGTTTAAATTTATATAGTTTATAAAGTTTATAATTTATAGATATAGTTTATAATTCTTTAGATATAGTTTCTTTTCTCTATGTACATGTTTGTAATAGCATTTTTGCAGTATTTGTTAACTAAGTTAACCATATAGGGACACTGAGGGACAGTTTTGATTGACTCCTTTTTTCCCTGAATATTGGTTAGACTTGTTTTTTTGCAGTTTTGTTTTGTTTTGTTTTGTTTTTGAGACAGAGTCTTACCTCGTCACTCAGGCTGGAGTGCAGTGGTTGCGATCTTGGCTCACTGCAGCCTCTGACTCCTGGGTTCAAATGATTCTTGTGCCTCAGGCTACCAAGTAGTTGGGATTACAAGTGTGCACCACCATGCCCTGCTAATTTTTGTATTTTTAGTAGAGACGGGTTTCACCACGTAGGCCAGGCTGGTCTCCAACTCCTGACCTCAAGTGATCCACCCGCTTCCGCCTCCCAAAGTGCTGGGATTACAATCGTGAGCCATCACACCCAGCTGGTTTTTTTGCACTCTTGTAGTTATTTTTGTTGAGTACTGAACATATTAAATAATATATTGCAGCAACTTCAGATTCTGAAGGTTTTCTGAGTCGTCGTTGTTTGCTTGTTTATTTAGTAACTTGCGTGGGTTAAATCTCTGATGTCTGTCTTCACCACAGTGTGTGAATACTTATGTTCTTGCTCAATTTAAAATGTTTTATTTATGAGCTTCGATTTCCTGGGATTTCCCGCTTGTCTGCACAACATAATATTCTGCCAAAGATTAGTCAGAGACTGTGTTTAAACACCTCGAACCACTAAGGCTTCCATGCTATTTTGATAGATCAATATTGGCGAGGAACTCAAACTACAGGGCATTTTCAAGTCCTCTTGACTTTTACTTAATGCTGGTATTTCTTTTTCACACACATGGTAGAGATGTACAGAAGGTTTGAGTCCACTCCAGTGTGTGATGATGCTTGCTTGTACAACCCCTGGACAACTGGCAATATACAGAGGGCTTATCAAGTCTCGTGTGGATGTCTTCCCCCAAGATAATTTCTGTTAAATGTCAGGCTAGTCCACCGGTTAGTTTTTTCTTCAAAACTAGATTTTCCTCTTCACTGGTCACTGAGATTGCCACTTCAACAATGACATTCTAAATCAAGTGATCTCTCTGCAGAGGTAGCAAAGCTTTTGGTTTTTGTAACCTTCCCTGTCCTAACAGAACTACTGCTCTGGCAAAAGCTGGGGGGCGGGAGGTTTTGGAGCCCTAGGTCTGCACTGCATTGACTAATGCTGTTCTTACTTGAGGATCAGTAGTTGTCATGAATAAACGCACTATTTTGAAAAGTTTGTTTTTGAAGTGTTAAAAACACTTGTTTGGACACTGTTATCTAGCTTTATAGTTAGATAACATACTAACTATACTTAGTATGTTATTGGGGAGGAGTTTCATTGAACTCAATTCATTATGTCAGAAGTCAGTCCCCTTAATATTTTAAGTCATTAAACAATTTTTAAAATTCTTAATAAGAGAAAATAAACATTTTACTAGAATGTGTATTGTATAATTAATCATATTTTCTATCATTCAAAAGTTAGCATTCAAGTCTGTGAAATACAGTTTGGGAGATGTTAGAATATAGCTAACATTTAAAGCCTTAAAACAGAATACAGTCACTTGGGAATTGAGTATATATAAAAAGAGATTCTAGAATTGAGCCCTGGAACATTTGAACATTCTATGGTTGATGAGTTGATGTGGAAACAGCAAAGAAACCAGATAGAGTGGACAATGATTTATGAAAAGAACAAGGAGAGGTGTCCTATGAACCCAGTGTGGGGAAAAAGTGTTTCAAGAAGGAGGGAATATACAACCAGGTCAAATCTTGCTGTAGTCCAAATAAGGTGAGAACTTAGAATTGTACACTAGATTTGGTCACCTAGTGGTCAGTGGAGATCTTCACAGATGTTATTTCAATGGATTAAGATTGATAGAAGTCTTGCTGGAGTGGATTCAGTAGCAAGGAAAGAAGAAAAATTTGTTTTAGCAAGTATAAGTAAATTGGATGACATTCTTCTATGAGAAGAAAAAAACAATGATAATGGTATAGAAGGAGAATCACATAGGTTCAAGAATGATTTTATTTGATATGAAGCTAGGAAATAAAACATAATTATGTGCTAATTGTAAGATCTAACTGAGAAAGAAAAATTGTGGTCACTGGACAGATGGGGGGCAATTGCTAGTGCAGTGTTTCTCAGACCTTACTGTGCAGCACAATCACCTGGAAGGTTTGTTAAAATACAGATTACTGGGCTTCCTGATAGAAGTTTTGATTCATAGACCTGGTCTAAGGCCTGGGAATTTGCATTCCTATCAAGTTGCTAAGTGCTGTTGGCTGCTGTTGGTCTGTGGTTTGATAACTAGTGTGCTAAAACCATACCCTTGCTCAATTTCTCTCTCTCTCTCCACACACACGCACACACACACATATATATATATATATGTATGTATAAACATTAGAGGACTTCATGCTGGATAAAAAAGAAAATGTAGCAGAAATTCACAGGGGCCCACAGGTTTATAGAGGAAATTGGGAGAATTGGCTTGGAATAGGAGTTCATCCATAGTAATAGAAGAGAAGGCAAGGCATTTGGTCACAGTTAGAGGACTTATTACATGTGACGGTGGGACCTTGTGTAAGTTCCCTTCTGATTGCTTCAATTTTGTAGCTGTAATGGAGTATAAGGTCATTATCTGAGATTGGCGATAGGAGAAGTGGTGTTGGATATTTGAGGAGAGAGCCAGAGCCTAAACAGAGTGGAATATTTGGTTGATTCTCTCAAATAGATAAACTTGTGTTCCTAAAATAAATACATTATTTTTATTCATGTAATACTAAAAGAACAGATTTCAGTGAATCACTAGCTTTTAACTCAAGAATTCTTATTTATTTCAGATAGACTTTAACATGTAGGTTTTATATTTCCCATCCTGAATTATCTCCATCTGCTCAGCAGAGAACAAGGAATAATTATTATTGCTGCATTACATTTTGTACAGTCTAGGTTTCACAGTGGGTTGTAGAAGCCTGTGTGAGTTGTTGTCATAATCATGATGTAAATATTATGTTTCAAAAGTTTAAAGATTTTTGAAATATAGCTTGACAATTCCAGGTTAACCAAGACATTCGAGAATAAAAGAAGTGTTGCCATGTTATTTATGTATCATTTTACTTACTAATATTTACAGCCCACTTATTTCTATTGACGAGTTAAAATCCTATGCCGAAAATAAGACAGTGAAAACCACAGCAGTTCACCAAAAGGAAACAGGGGTAATAGTAAGCAATCAAGTGAGTCGATTGCTGCCAGCGGCCGTGTATACTAATTGTCTATTTCCTGTGCTATGGAAACACTTTCCAGATAGCTATTCTTCTTCTTTGGAAGTGTGTTCATTTTATCTTCTCATAGTGATCATTTAATTCAAAGGCAGCTGATGAGCACGCAGTATATACTGTACAACCTGTTCACTATTATTAGCTTCTGTGTTAACTTAGGAATAATACACTACCACATAAGTAGACATAAAATTATGAATTTGGCAAAAATAAAATGATAATTGTGGTAAAATACAGGCTGGTTATTTGCAGAGTATATCGATTAACTTTGTTAGGTAACACGCCATAAAAATTAGTTTTTAAAACCAACCCTTTATCTCAAAGTTTTGGGGGTGGAATTTTGGGTTGAATTCCTCTGCTTTTGTTCTTGTGGTCTGGGTTGAGCTCATTCACGTGTCTGCAGTTATCTGCTAGTTTGGCTGGTTGCTACCTGGCTGGTTTGTCTCTGCCCCCTGTGGTCTTTGATTCTCCTGTAAACCAGAGGTTGATCACATGACGATGGCAGGGTTCTAAGAGAAAGGACAGGAGTGTGCAACATCTGTTAACACTTACACTAGAGAATGGCGCATGACCACTGGTCAAAGCAAGTCACAAGGACAGCTGACAGTTAACAGGTAAGAAGGAGAAAAAAAAAACTCCCTCTGAATGGGAAGAGCTGAAAAGTCCCATTACAAAGGAGCTTGTTTACAGGAAGATGAATAACTTTAGCTATTGTTGCAAAAATCTACCACACTGAAATATTAATCAGAAGAACAATTATAGTATAATAATTAGAAATGATCAAGAGAAAAGGCAACGGAAATAAGATAGTAGGAGATGTACTGAAGGAAAAAGACTATTTCACTTTTTCAAATACCAGATAATGTAATTTATTGTAGAGAAAAAAACACCCTCGGATTCGGAGTTAGCTTGGTCACTTATGGGGAGTTTAGGGCATAGTGTTTATTTTGTCTTGAGGGATGTGGACCAAATATGACATAGCGTGTGTGATTCTGACCACACTGAGACTTCATTTTTTTCTCCTACTGTTTCTTTGTGCTTTATCCAGCGGTACTAATCTCCTCTTGCTTTTTGATAAATCTCTGGAAGATCCAGTGGCTTTTCTGCTTACTCTTGATTAAGACCTATTGACACTTTAAACAGATGTAGTCTCAATTCAGTCATTAAAATGTCGAGGCAATCAAACTCCAAACTTAATATAAAGCTTCTGTCATCCTTCAGCTGGAGATGAAGGCTATAGTGGGATAGGGGCATCATCCTCTGCTGTCTACTTTTGTCACACTCACCTCCTCTCCTGCTAGCTAGCTGCCCAGGTCTAAGGGGTAACTTGGGAGGACAGGTGTATTCGTGTGCTACGGCTGCCATAACTAATTGCCATAACTGAGGGGCTTAAACAAATAGTTACCTTCTCACAGTTCTGGATACTAGAAGTTCAAGATCAAAGTGTTGGAAGGGTTAATTCCTCCAAAGACCTGCAAGGGAGAGTTTTTCCCATGCAGAGATTTTCTGGCGATCTTTGATTTTCCTTGTCTGGTAGATGTACTACCTAGATCTCTGCATTTATATTCTCATGACATTTCCTTGTGTTCTGTTTGTATCTTCACATGGCATTATTTAATAAGGACATCAGTCATATTGGATACTGGGCCCTCTCTACCCCAGGATGACATTAGCTTAACCAATTATATGTGCGACAACTCTGTTTCCAAAGAAGGTCATGTTCTGAAGTACTGGGAGTTAGGACTGCAACATCTGAATTTTGGGAAGACACAACTGAATCCATGCAATAGGCAGAGGGATTGCATTTTTGATGTCAAGGGGTGAAATCATAAGCTAGCTTCGGCTTCCTGGGCCTAGAAGTTAAAAATTTAAGGCTGGCCTCTTTTTTCAAGCTAAATCTTTCTCGCACAAGCATGCCATTTTTGTGTACTCTTCTACAATCCCCTGCCAGGCCCAGGGTGCCCACTTTTGACATTCATTTTGAGCAGACGAAGGAGCTAAGCAGAAAGAGCAGTTTGAAACATAATTCCAGGCCAAATCTGCTCACTTGACAGCATTCATTGGTTTGAAGGTTGCACACACTCAGACAATGAAGGTACTTTAAAAAATGTCATTTAATTGCCAAGAATCATGTAAGGCTACATCCCACAGAGATGTCTTTTGATATATATATATATATATATATATATATATATATATATATATATATATATATATATCACAAAGAAAATATATATATTTTCACAAAGAGTTTGGTGTAATCTGGCAGTGTATCTGGCTAGGACCCACCATCCTAAAGTTCCCTTTAACCTGGGCAGATACATCTAGGTGGACATTTGTTACTCTTCTCATCCCATGGACAGGTGGAAGTGCATATCCAACCACTCTATTTTAAAGTGTCCTTGCTCTTGCAGATAGCTCTATATTGCTCAGGACACGAGATGACCTCTAACGTTAAGACTCCCACCTTTGCAGTGTAGCTTATGTCTTGTTAAAAACTTGATATCCTCACACATCACCTGTACCAGCATCTTCTGGGAGGGTGGATTGATGCTGAAGCAACACCACACTTCCAGCTTCATCACCAAAGCGCTTCGTCGGGACAGTCCACAGTCAACGTTCCATTTTCACTTGGACATAGTTTGGATGTGTGTCCCCTCTAAATCTCAGGTTGAAATGTGATCCCCAAAGCTGGATGTGGGGCCTGGTGGGAGGTGTTTGGGTCACAGGGATGGATCCCTCATGAATGGTTTGCTGCCCTCTCTGTGGTTAATGAGTTATCACATGGTCTGCTTGTCAAAGAGTCTGGGACCTTCTCCCTCTCTTTTGGTTACTCTCTGTCCATGTGACGTACGTATTCTCTCTTTGCTTTCTATCATGAGTAAAAGCTTCCCGAGGCCTCACCAGAAGCTGAGCAGATGCTGGTGCCATGTTCGTACAGCCTGCAGCACCATGAGCCAAAGACACCACTTTTCTTTAGAAATTACCCAGCCTCACATATTTCTTTATACCAATGCAAAACGGACTAACACTCTCTGAGATATCAAAACACACTAGTTCACTGCATTTTTCAACTTCAAAGTTAACCCCCTAAAGCTTGGAGTTTGGTAACATTTTCTCACTTGTCCTAACAGAGGATCAAGGAGACAGATTGGAAAATGAGTATATGTGTGTAAGGAATATTCATGGCCCCCAGTTTTTCCCAGGGTATCTCTTTAAAACTCTCCTGACAGAAACTTCTGTGAGTCCTCCATTAGGGGTTTGTATTCTTCATCTTACTGAGGTGTCTAAGATACATGGACCTGTTCTCAGGACCATTTTCTTTATAAATCTGCACATGCTTGCATTTTCTTACACTCTCTTTTATGTGCTGTTTTATGTCTTCTTGGCACCTCAATTAAAATTGAGACTGGGAGGATAACATGCCCGTTTAGATTTTGTGTATAAACAGATTTTTTGTTTTTTAATTTTTTTTTTTGTGACGGCGGTAGCTGGGAATGTTTTACAAGATGGCTTCATGAGCCTCAGTTCTGAGGAGCAACTTGGAAAGCTGTATCCATTCTACATAGCCATTTGACCCTTCTCTAGGTTGTTGCTTACCTATTGCTTTTGGAAAGGGCAGAGTATTTAGTGGAACATAATGGTATATTGAACCAGATGCCCTGGATATTAGCTCTCTGGTGTTAACATTGGCTTCATTTTACTTTTCATAAAATTGTGTGGTCTAGCTGAACTATGAAGTTCCTTCCAAGTTTGTTTTGTAACTTCAGATTAAGCTAAGCTATAATTTATTTGGCTCAGAACGTGTTTCTGAGCTAAATTATCCCCTTAAACTAGTTGAGTGATGTTTATGTCATAGTGTATATAGAACACTAAGTTGAAATCTATATGGTAGCTAATGGAGAAAAATTAGTTGTAGAAAAGAGAATAACTTCAGTCTGTCAAATTTCTTTTAATGAAGATTTTTTGAAAAATTTTTCCCGTTTCCTCATTATATAAATAAATGTAACCTTTTATACCGAACTTAGAGTTTAATTGAAAATGTCATAGAAGATAATGCAACCATATTCCTTTGTATAGCAATTATGTAAGCCATATTAGTAGTGATAGGGATATTTCAAAAAATGTAAGGGTATAGGTTTTTAAGAAAAGGTTTTTTAAAACATTTGCAAACTTATGAAGCCGTGAAAAAAAGTCATTTTGTGGCATGAATAGTATGTAGATTAAAGCACCTTATGCTTTATTTTGCTTTGGATTAGAGCTACCAGGAAGTAGGGATTATTCTGAATATCTTAATAAATCTTATTCAGGAGAAGGGAAGAGTAGAAAAACACTACAGTGATAAATGGTAAAGAAACAGCTATCACTCACATTAACCAGTACAGGAGGATGTTTGAGATTTTTATGGTTTGCACAGTGACCTTAGATTGTCCGTGCCTAGATAAATGTATGTATAATTGATTTGATTTATGGTAAATTAATTTGAGGCTCCAGGTCTTAGTGATATTGTTATATTTCCAAAGAAAAATTTTATTGTTCTTTTTTAAACCACTGCTATTTTTCTTGCACAACATATATTTGTTTCATGTACTACCTAGCAATAAGCTTAGTTAAAGCATTTTGAAATTTAATTAAAACTAAGATTTTCAACATTTATAGGAATTAGTTCATTAAATTATGATTGCTTTATATATAGGTTTATACTGTGGTCCTAAAATGAGCTTTTAAGCATTTTACCATGCAGGAGAGTGATTAGTCTGTATCTTCACAGTACACTAAATCAATGCACACTATCACACATAGAATTTCAAGAGTGATCATCCACATTTTCTTTCTTCTTTTTAAGATGGAGTTTTGCTCTTGTTGTCCAGGCTAGAGTACAATGGCATGATCTCAGCTCACTGCAACCTCCACCTCCCAGGTTCAAGCGTGATTCTCCTGCCTCAGCCTCCCAAGTAGCTGGGATTACAGGCATGTGCCACCACACCCAGCTAATTTTTGTATTTTTGGTAGAGAGGGGGTTTCTCCATGTTGGCTAGGCTGGTCTTGAACTCACGACCTCAGGTGATCCACCTGTCTCAGCCTCCCAAACTGTGGGGATTACAGGCATGAGCCACCGTGTCCAGCCCACATTTTCTTAAAAGAAGTCTTTAATGGGAACAAATGATTCACAAGTCCCTTTTCTTCCCAAAATTTCATCAAGTTAGTGAAAATTTAGTCATATCGATCATTTCGAAGTAGTAGAAAAAAAGACTAAAAAAGCCCCTGTAGGTGGCAGTCAAACTCTAAATAATCAATTAAGTTTTCTGCTTGTTAGTTAATTGCTATCCTTGCAACATACGTTGAGTTTTAAAAAGACAAACAACACTTTAAAATTCTTTGCTGCTATTTCCAACACATCTGAGTTTTTAAATTTCTTCTACACATTCATTTATGTAAGAAGTACTATATAAAACTTCCTGAAAGTTAGAAATAAGTATGATATGTAATACGTTAGTACTTCTCCATCAATTGAATTAGAAAAATACGTTTGTTACGTTTTTGTTACGACTTATCAAGTCATTTAAAGTAATTTAATATGTAGAGTACAAAAAGTCAATTTTACCTAACTTTCAAGTAAAAATATATTTTTATATATTTTTCTTTTCATAGCAGTAACCACTTACATTGTTGCTTTAGAAAAGCCACTGACATTAATTTTCATCTTAAAAATCTTACATGCTAGTAAGAATGTGGTTATTGCTTTCAGATACTTAAAGCAATATGACTGTCTTCTAATATGCCTATCTTTTTACAAATCACTACAGTTAAGTTTCACTTTAATGCAACACCTTATATTAGGTTAGGTTAACATCTGCAAACAGATTATTTTCTCTCTTTTCAATTCAAATGCGTTTTTCCCTGTTCTTGCTTAATTTCTCTGCCTAGGACTTTCAGTACTATGTTGAATGACAGTGGCGAAAGTAGGCATCCTTGTCCTGTTCCATTTCTTAGGGAAGAGTTAACAATATGATTTAGTTGTGGATTTGTGTATTTGACCTCTCCTGTGTTAATGCATGTTCTTCTGTACCTAATTTGTTGAGAGTTCTTATGAAGGGAAGGTGAATTATATCAAACGCTTTTTCAGCATCTGTTGAGATGATCATATGATTTTTGTTCTTCATTCTGTTGATGTGACGTATCATATTTATGTATTAATTTTAAACCATCCTTACATCCCTGGAATGAATCCCACCTAATTATGGTGTATTATCTTTTTGAAGTGCTGTTGGAATTGGTTTGTTAGCATTTGGTATAGGAGTTTTGCATCTGTGTACATCAAGGATATAGGCTTGTAGTTTTCTCTTTTTGTTGTGACCTCGTCTGCTTTGGTATTAGGGTGATGCTGGCCTCATAGAATAAGTTAGGGAAAATTTATTCCTTTTCTTTTGGAATAGTCTGAAAATAATTGGTGTTATTTAAAAGTTCGGTAGAATTTAGCAGTAAATCTATACAGTCCTGAGCTTTGCTTTGTCAAGAGTATTTTTGTTACTGGTTCAATCTCCTTAATTATTGTTGGTCAAAGTTTTCTATTTCTTCCTGGTTCATTCTTATAGTTCATACATATTTAAGAATTTATCCACTTCCTCTAGGCTTTCCAAGTGGTTGGTATGTAGTTGCTCATAATAGTCTCTAATGATCTTTTGTTATTTCTATGGTATCAGTTGTAAGTTTCCTTTTTTCATTTTTGATTTTATTTGGGTCTTTCCTCTTTTCTTAGTCTAGGTAATGGTTTGTCAATTTTATCTTTTTAAAAAGCAACTTTTTGCTTTGTTGATCTTTTGTATCTTTTGTCTCTGTTTTTAATTTTGTTCCAATCTTTATTTTCTTCTACTAAATTTGGGTTTGGGTTGTTCTTCCTTTTCTAGTTCCTAGAGGTGCATAATTAGGTTGCATATTTGAAATCATTCTTCTTTCTACTGCATGTTTTTCTTTTCTATGTAGAATCTTTTTCCAGCATTTTACTTTGTTTTGTGGGTCTTTATACATGAAGTGGGTTTCTTGCAGGCAGCATGTAGTTGGGTCTTCTGTTTTTACTTATTTAGTCAGTTTATATCTTTTAATTGAAGAATTTAAACTGTTTACATTCAAGGTTATTGACAGGTGAGGACTTATTTCTGTCATTTTTCTTGATAATTTTTAGGTGGTTTTGTATATCCTTTGTTCATTTCTTTCTCTTATTTTTCCAGTTAGGTAGTTAGTGTTTATAGTAAAAACATTTGATTCCTTTCTCTTTGTCATTTATGTATTTGCTTTACCAGTGAATTTTATATTTTTATATGCTTTCACGATGGCAGGTATCATCCTTCTGCTTTGAGATGTGAAACTCCCTTAGGCGTTTCCTGTAGGGCAGATCTAGTGGTGATAGATTCCCTCAGCTTTTGTTTGTCTGGGAAAGGCTTTATTTATCCTTAATTTCTGAAGGACAGCTTTGCTGTGTACAGTATTCTCAGCAGAAGTTTTTTTGTTTCAGCACTTTGAATATATAATTCCATCTCTCCTGGCCTACAAAGTTACTGCTTAGAAATCTGTTAGTCTGATGAGAATTCCACTATATGTGACGTGATGCTCTTCTCTTGCTGTTATTAGAATTATGTCTTTGACTTTTGACAGTTTGACTATGATATGTCGCAGGAAGGACTTCTTTGGTTTGATTCTATTTGAGCATCTTTGAGCTTACTGTATCTAAATGTGTGTATCTTTCCCAAGATTTAGATAGTTTTCAGCTATTATGTTATTAAATCAGTGTTCTATGCCTTATTCCCATCTCTTCTCCTTCTGGAACTCCGCAAATGTGAACACCTTTTCACTTAATGGCATCCAATATGTTATGCAATCTTTCTTCATTCTTTTTAATTCTTTATTTTTGTCTGGGTTACTTCAAAAGACCTGTCTGAAAGTTCAGAAATTCTTTTCTTCTGTTTGATTTAGTATATTGAAGATCTCGATTGTATTTTTGTATTTCATTAATTGAATTCTTCAGTCTCAACATTTCTAATTGTTTTTAATGATATCTATCTCTATGCTGAATTTCTTATTCAGATCATAGATTGCTTCCCTGGTTTCTTTGAATTGTCTACTTGTGTTCTCCTGTATCTCACTGACTCCCCTTTAGGGCATTTTTTTTTTTTTTTTTGCATTTCTTTTCAGGCATTTCATAGGTTTTCTTCTGTTTAGAGTCTGCTACTGGAAAATTACTGTATTCCTTTGGAGGAGTCATCTTCTAGGTTTTCCCCATTTCTTGTGTCCATACATTCATATCTGTACATCTGGTGTAACAGTCACTTATTCTAATATTGTGGAATAGCTTTCATAAGGAAATACTTTTTTCCCCTGTAGATATATCTATAGTGTTGATTAGGTAGATTTGGCTTTGGTTTTGAGCGGACCTAATAGTCTCCACACAATATCTTTGGCTCTAATCCGTATCACCAGTGTCTGCAAATTTCTTAGTAACTGACGTTGTGGTGGTTTGTGGAGGCTATGCCATGGCTTTACTGTGGAGGGGAATGCCAGGCAGGCTAATCCTTGGGCCACTGGGGGCTGTGTGGGAGCCCCATCACTGAAGGGTCGGGGTTGCTGGTGGTGCTGAAACTCTAGGTGGGTGGCTCTCAGGTTTTGGTGAATGAGTGCCTTAGCTCTCTGTTTTGGGGGCAGCCTCCCTGATATACTGAAGTGCTTATTCTCTGAGGTGTAGGGTGCTATATAGGCTCGGGTGCTAAGGACACTGTTGCACCTCTATGTCCAGCAGATGCCGTGATGCTATAGTCCTATGGGTGGATGTGGAGGGATGCTGGTGGGGCGTCAGTAATGTGGATACGCCGGGCCTATTGGGCCTTAGAGTGCGATACTCTTGTGGCTCTGGTCTCAGAAAGGTTCTATGCTATATTTTGGTTGTGACCACCACAACAAAAAAATTCACTGTTGCACATGGAGATGTACATGGTATTATGTATACTTCTGCATTTTCACACACAAAAAAAATAGGATTAAGGTTAGATCAGTTTGAGTCCTGGGGGAATGACAGGGATTTAGTGTAAATATCCTTTCTGGAATAATGCAGTCACATGCACTCCAGGCAGCTCCTTACAAAAGGTGCATGGCCTGTGAGGAATAAGGGGCTCTCCTGAGATAGAACTGCAGGCACCTGGGGTGGAAATGTGGAGTGCTGAAGGTCTCTCACTTCTTCCCTGTAATGGAGAATCTCACTTGATACTAAGCCAATCCCTCTGGCTGTTTCATTTCTGTTTCTAGGCTGACATTTCAAGTTTCTCTGCCTCAGAGTGTCATTTTGCTGCTGAATTCCAATATTCTCCCTTAGATGCTCTATTTAATGTGTGTGTATCTATCTGTTGTTTTGATTCTTCCTTGTGGAGGAGGCTAGTGTTGGGCATCTCTAGTCAGCCATCTTGATCGAAAGGAGTCAATATTTTTATCTTAAAGAATATGCAGCTTTCTTTAAAAAGCTCATGTTTGTATATGTTATATATTACATAGTGATAGTAGATCAAGGAAGGAAATTATTGAAACTTTTAAAAAATCTGCCTAGTTCGTCAAAAGAAAACCTGATATAGCTATTAGAATTCAAAATATTTAGCAATATCAATGGCATGAACACTGACCAGAGGTAATACAGACTGTAAACAACATGTGTGGGCATACTAGTGCATATTAAATTAAGACTGCCCCAAGCTGGGCACAGTGGCTCATGTCTGTAATCCCAGCACTTTGGGAGGCTGAGGGGGGCAGATCACCTGAGGTCAGGAGTTCGAGACCAGCCTGACCAACATGGAGAAACCCTGTCTCTACTAAAAATACAAAATTAGCTAGACGTGGTGGCATATGCCTGTAATCCCAGTTACTGGGGAGGCTGAGGCAGGAGAATTGCTTGAACCCGGGAGGCGGAGGTTGCAGTGAGCCAAGATTACACCATTGCACTCCAGCCTGGGCCAAAAGAGCGAAACTCAGTCTAAAAAAAAAAATTGCCCCAAATATTTTATCTGTTGGAGATACTAGAAGTAAAGCTCTGAGAATCTAGTGCCTGTTTGCCCAATAACCAATAAAGCTAGAATATAAGCTGATCTAACCCTAATCCTATAGTTGTTCTGTGAAAATTTAGTGACATACACAATAACATGTATGTTTCTGTGAGTAACAGTAAATTTTTTGGTTGTGGTGGTTGCAAAAGTAGAAATGAATTAATTATAAGTATTTATAAACAAATCAAATGACTCCGATTTCTTATGTCCTTAATGCTTCCTTTTAGGTCCATAAAGAGATATCTTTCTAAATCACAGAGCGTTATAACTTAATAGTTAAAGAACCTAGTATGGTTCAACATAGAGTCACTACGTTGGAGTTTGTTCTTGGAGAAAAATTAATAAAATGCAGATGTTTACCATAGTGACTTGGATTATAGTGCAGCAATTGAATAAAAATTATAACATTTCGGATAACAGCGAACTAGATATAATTTCATATGAATAATAAAAATATAAAAGAATGATACAATTTAGGCAGTGATGCTGGTGAAAAAGTACGTTGACTATTCTGTTGTTTTGCAATGAGGTGTGTGTCAGAGAATGCTAGATGCCTATTTAGTATTCATTGTCTTTTTACTTACTAACTGAACTCCATTTTTTGTAGAAATTTTGTGCAGTTATAACACATTTTCAGCATTCCTTGTAGCTAAGTGGGGCCTTTTAACCCTTCAAAATAGGAAATAAATAATCCTGCTTTGCCCTAGACTTCATTTAATATTTACTGAACTTCTGGTATGTGCTAATTATTATCTATATAGAAGATGGTATGCTAGGTCAGATTTTTTAAATGTCAGTAAATTCCCATTGATTTTCAAAAGAATTTCATACTTTCAAGATACAGCTGAGAGGGTAGAAAAATCCGTCTATAGGTATAGTAAATGACACTTTTGAGGTTTGCTCCTCTGCACTTAAGTAATTTATTATAATTACTCTATGCCCTTAATATCTATTCTGGAAAATATAACCACAGTCTGATTTCTATTGAGGTAGCCTCAGTATATATTCAAGGGAAAATAATGATTTAGACTGTGCGTTTTTTTTAGGGTATGCAAAAATATAATATACGTGGCTATGTGTGTGTACTTGCATGAATTGTTCATTTCTTTCAATTAAAATTTCCATAATAGGTAGAGGATGCAAGCCTTTTAGTAAATGCTTCACAGTTATCTGTATTTTCTATTCTGTTGTATTTTTTTTTGATGGTAAAGAGATACTAATTCATCCTCTCTGTGAATTCTTCTATGCAATTGAGGACTGTTTTTCCTTTATCGTTAATAATCTTCTTAGGCTTATCCATCTTAGTATATATTATTTTCTATCGGGGTAAATTCAGCCAGATATCGGGCAAAATTCACCCCCAATATTTCACTTAGCTTCTTTTCTATTTTCCCTAAGTGTTGGCTGGTTTGAGAAATAAAGGGACAGAGTACAAAAGAGAGAAATTTTAAAGCTGGGCGTCCGGGGGAGACATCACACGTCGGTAGGTTCCGTGATGCCCCCCGAGCCGTAAAACCAGCAAGTTTTTATTAGTGATTTTCAAAAGGGGAGGGAGTGTACAAATAGGGTGTGGGTCACAGAGATCACGTGCTTCACGAGGTAATAAACTATCACAAGGTAAATGGAGGCAGGGCGAGATCACAGGACCACAGGCCCGGGAGGAAATTATAATTGCTAATGAAGTTTCGGGCACCATTGTCATTGATAACATCTTATCAGGAGACAGGGTTTGAGAGCAACCGGTCTGACCAAAATTTATTAGGTGGGAATTTCCTTGTCCTAATAAGCCTGGGAGTGCTATGGGAGACTGGGGCTTATTTCATCCCTACAGTATCGACCATAGAAGATGACACACCCAAGGGGGCCATTTCAGAGGCCCACCCTCAGGGGCGCATTCTCTTTCTCAGGGATGTTCCTTGCTGAGAAAAAGAATTCAGTGATATTTCTCCCATTTGCTTTTGAAAGAAGAGAAATATGGCTCTGTTCTGCCCAGCTCACTGGCAGTCAGAGTTTAAGGTTATCTTTCTTATTCCCTGAACATTGCTGTTATCCTGTTCTTTTTTCAAGGAGCCCAGATTTCATATTTTTCAAACACACATGCTTTACAATTTGTGCCGTTAGCGCAATTATCACATGGTCCTGAGGCAACATACATCCTCCTCGGCTTACGAGGTGGCAAGATTAAGAGATTAAAGTAAAGAGAGACATAGGAAATCACAAGGGTATTTACTGGGGATGTGATAAGTGTCCATGAAATCTTCATAATTTATGTTTAGGCACTGCAGTAAAGACAAGCATAAGAAATTATAAAAGTATTAATTTGGGGAACTAATAAATGTCCATGAAATCTTCACAATCCATGTTCCTCTGCCATGGCTTCAGCCGGTCCCTCCATTTGGTGTCCGTGACTTCCCGCAACAATTTTCTGCCATTTAGATTGTTGAATCTTCTTCACAATCTTCATGAGCCTCTTCAATTTTAGCTGTTAGAGATAAACATTTACTATTTGCTCAATTTTTAAAAGATTTTCAAAATGAATCCTTTCTCAGTGAAAATGTTCTGGTACTATCCATAAATGCCAGGTCAAAAAACAAAATGCAGTATTTTTACATTTCTCAATTAGTCTTTTCCAAAGATATATGATCTTTTCTAATCTACAAACACTTTTATAAGCCATCATGAATGTCTAAAAATGGCACTTCAATAATTTTTTCTTTCAATACATAAGGATATATCTACAAAGTAATATACATTTAAATTTAGCCTTTAAATTTTATTATACTTCCTTTTCTGAAACTTGTTTCCACCATTTCAACTGTGTTAACTTTCTTTCCTTAGTTCACTATTCTTTATTCTTTTTTTTTTTTTTTTTTTTTTTAAAATTTGAGATGGAGTCTTGCTCTGTCGCCCAGGCTGGAGTGCAGTGATAGTTCACTATTCTTTCTAAAAATGTAGGTCCAGAAGAATTTAAAATAATGTACTGGGAAAAGTACTCACCTTTCTAAGCTTCAGTTTCTTTATTTGGAAGACCAGGAAGTTGGATTAGATGAGCTCCCAGATTCCTTTTACCTTTAGGTTACAAAGTGTCAAAAATAGAACTAATTTTTCTGGTATATTGAATTTGGTCTTTATAAGTTATACAACATTTCCTTCTTTGTCTTTCTAAGCTTGACTTTTTAGTCCTCCTCACCACTCTTTTCTAGCTTAGAGGAATGCCCATTTCTATTTCAGTTCCTTATGTATTTCTTATATTCATCGTAACCTTGATACCTTATTAAGAACAGGATGACTTTCGGCATGGCCCCAGGGCTATGGTATGAAAAAAATCAGAGGGCCTTACTTGAAAGAATCAGAGTGTTAAATTTTATTTGTGGGAGGCAATGATTTTGCCAGAGGGAAGGAGTCATTCTGCCTTGGTAGTTTTTTTTTTTTTTTTCATTCTTGCTTTTGCATCTTTACCCTTGGACCCTAGTGCCTCAACCTACAAGTCTGCTAAATTCTTCAGTGATTTTTTTTATCTCACTACATACAGCATTCTTTCAAATGCAAGGTCATGGTGTAAATCGCTTTTGATATCATGGTTGTAAAAGGAGAAGTGGCGCTTATTTCAGATAAAACCTATTTTTAGCTTTCCATAAAAGCTTTGTTTTTCCCACATAGTATTTGATTTTTATATCTAAGTAAAAAATAATAAAACTGGAGAAATAGAGTAACAACGCTTGTGACTATTGAAATAACAGAAATGCATGTTGGGATGATACATTAAAAGGGCATTTATTTCACTTCTTCATTGTCAAATAAACTTGCTGTTAAATCAGCCAGGAACACGGGTCTGCAATCTTTCTATATTACTCTGTTGCATCAATATCAACTGCTGCTTTTTCAACATACAACACTGTGAACTTACTAATTTAGGCTTTTAAGTATATCTAAGTCACTGGGCCTTTAGAATACAGGAGTTTTTTTTTAAAAAAAAACAGGAAATATTAGCTGTGCATGACTCATTAACCCATTTAAATTGTAATTTGTGATCTGATGGCAAATGTAGAAGACACTTGCATATTTTCTTTTGAATCATCATCTGTCCCACCCTCACACCATACATAAAGATTAAGATGGATTAAAAACCTAAATGTAAGAGCTAAAATTATAACACTCTTAGAAGAAATATATGTAAACCTTTCATGCTTTTGGATTTGTCAGTGTTTTTTGTATGATCTCAAAAGCACAAAAATAAACAAATTGGATAAATCAGGCTTAATCAAAATACAAAAACCTTTGTGCTTCAAAGAACACTATCAATAAAGTAAAAAGATAGCCACAAAGTGGGGAGAAAAATTTGTAAATCATGTATTTGATAAATGATTTTTATCTAGAATACATGAGTAATGTTTGCAGCTCAACAATAGACAACTAATCCAACTAAAAATGTAACAGGACCTGAAATAGAAATGTCTCCAAAGAACATACACAAATACCCGTAAGCATATGAGAGATGCTAAATGTCATTTGTCATCAGAGAAATGCAAATAATATTACAGTAAGATATACTTCACATCCACTAGGATGGTTACCATAAAAAGGTGGATAATAACCAGTTTGAGTAAAGATACTGGGAAGTCAGAACCCTTATACAATGCTTCTTTTGGGAATGGGAAAGGGTGCAGCCACTTTGGAAAACAGTCTGCTGGTTCCTCAAAAATGTGTCCACTTACCATTTGACTAAACAATTTAATTCTTGCACATTTACTTATAAGAAATGAAAACATATGTTCATATAAAAGGTTGAACATTGCTGTTTATGGCAGTATGATTTCTCATAGCCAAATGGCAGAAACAACCCAAATATCTACTAACAAATGGATAAACAGAGTATTTTATATCCATACAATGGAATATTATTGAGCCATAACAGTAATGAAGTACTGATACATGAAAATATACTAAATGAAATAAGCCAGTTATAAAAGGCCATGTATTGTATATTGTGTGATCCCATTTATATGAAACGTCCAAAATAGGCAAATCTCTAGAAGCAGAGTAGATTACTGTTTGCCAAGACATGGGGAGGGAATACGAATGTTGAAAGGTGACAGCCGAATGTTGCAGGGTTTCTGTTTGAGGTAACTGAAATGTTCTGGAATTAACTCATGGTTTGCACAAGCTAGTGAATATACTAAACACCTGTGAATTGTACCCCTCAAATGGGTATTTGTATTACACTCAATAAGTAGTATTCATATTACATTCAAAAGTAGTATTTGTATTACACTCAATAAAACCATTACCAAAAATAATAAGCATATTTTGCCTTATTTCTGTCAAAGTGAAATTCTGAATATGTTAAAAAATATTCCCATAAAAATATTTAATATGAGATATAGAGATAAATAAAATAGGCTAGAATCAGTTTGCTTAGTTACATGCCACACTGGTATAATATCTTATGCAGGATAATAAAACCATAAAGTTTTGAGTTTATCTTTTTTACCATACTCATATCTATTAGACAAGAATCACTTTTATTCTTTTCTCAATTAAATGTCTAATTGTATAGTCTGAGCTCTAATTTAATGAAATAAAATTAATAGTACATAGAATGATTTTGCTAGAGATGTAGATGACTCTTAAGTGGACTTGCTAAAAGGTGCTCCAGGATCACATAAAAACAGCATGTAGTCATCCTTTTACCTCAATTTTAATAAATTTTTATCAAAGCTCCTATACTGTCCCCTTCAATTTATTGGCATGCAACTTCCTCCAAGAAATGAGTTTACCAGAAGCTTACACTCCTGATGTTAATTACACACACACACACACACACACACACACAGAAACGTATATGCAAATGATAGAAGGGTATGCAGAGTTTCTAGACGAATGCTGGTATTTCCTTATGGCTAGAGAATAACTCAAGTTGTTTGGAAGCACATTGTGCTTGTTATCACTATATTGCTTCTCATGCCTGAACTATCCTTTTCTGCCCTACTTTGTAGTACTGGAGCTGGACCCTGTAAACATTTCTCCTTTAATAGTTAGTATGCTATACTGCTAAGCTTTGTAGTAGAGGGATCTGGAAGAGTTTTTCTCTTTCTGAATCTGGTGTCCTGATTTTCTCTTTTGCTTCAGTGACATGCAGCTGAGCTGTCATTGGTGAGGGTCACCAGTAGTGTGTACCCTAATGAGTGGCTTCTTAGTGAGTTTTGCCAGCACCACAGAGGGAGCTTTCTAGTGAGATTTCTCATCCCAGAAGTAGCTTCCCAGTAAGTTTCAATGTCCCCTAGCTGGTGAGTCTGGTGAAGCTGTTGGTTTCACAGTGAGTGTCATTGGAATTTTGGGGGGCAGGTTCCTGTTTTCCAGGCTTGGTGTGCATCATTTCAGTGGGATTCTCAGACATCCTGTGGGTGACAACTGCACCTTCTCTAACCAGTTCAAAATATCAGCTTTACCAGGGTCGTCTTTTAAGATCATCTCTTCTTTGGATACTTTTCTCTAGCCCTAGAGGTAGTGGCTGCCACTTATATCTGCTAGTTGTATGATTTTTTTTTTTTTGAGATGGAGTCTTGCTCTGTCACCCAGGCTGGAGTGCAATGGTGCAATCTCGGCTCACTGCAACCTCCGCCTCCCAGATTCAAGTGATTCTCCCGCCTCAGCCTCCTAAGTAGCTGGGATTACAGGTGCCCATCACCAAACCCAGCTAATTTTTATATTCTTGGTAGAGATGGTGTTTCACCTTGTTGGTCAGGCTGGTCTCAAACTCCTGACCTCAGGTGATCCACCCGCCTCAGCTATATTTTTTAGATTCCCTTTGCTCTTATTGGCTAATCCCCTGTTGTGAATTCATATTTCCTCATATTCTGTTTTTACACTTTGGATTACTGGTATGGTTTCTGTCTCTTAACTGATCTTGCATTGATACAGATTACATTTTATTAGGCTTTTACCTAAATGAGGAAGGTAAAAGATGTAACTTTTCACATAAAATTATAAAATGCTGCTTCATATTTATATAAATGTTTCATATGTATATAAATATTTACAGTCTCAAGGTTTATTTTATGGTATACCTCATCACGATCATCTACTTTGAAAATGATTTTTTCTGACAACTAAGAATACTCTAAAGACTCAAAATTTGTTACTATGTAATGTCATTTTTCAGACTTCCTTTTTTTTTTTTTTTTTTTGAGATAGTCTCACTCTGTCACCAGGCTGGAATGCAGTGGCACGATCTCAGCTCACTGCAACCTCCGCCTCCCAGGTTCAAGCTATTCTCTGCCTCAGCCTCCCGAGTAGCTGGGATTATAGGCACGCACCACCACGCTCAGCTAATTTTTGTATTTTTTTAGAGATGGGGTTTTACCGTGTTCACCAGGATAGACTTGATCTCTTGACCTTGTGATCCGCCCGCTTTGGCCTCCCAAAGTGTTGGGATTACAGGAGCCACAGCACCTGGCCCAGACTTTTTCACTGAAGAATTCTTTTATCAGAGAAGAAGCAGATAAAATCCAAAGGGAAAGAGAGAGTTGAGGCCAAACTTGAAAGCACCTGCAGTAATATTTGGTGTTTTATCACTATTAAATAGTTCAATATTTTCTTCAAAATTCTTAAAATTTTTGCTCCAGGAAGATATAGATGTTTAGCAGTGATTTTCAACTATGACTTGTTCTACCTCTGAATAAATAGCTATGGTTACCTGGAGGTATACATTCCCATGGTGGTTATATAATGGGTATATTGTTAAAGAGTCTCAACACAGTCTCAAGCTGGTTCAATTTGTTTCTGTAGTCTCACCACCTGCCAACTAGGTCTTAAGTGTACCACTGTGACTCTTCTTGGCTTACAATAATCCTTAATCTTGGAGAGGAAAGGTGCCCACAGGAGGAAATTCAGAGGAGAAGCATGCAGCATTTTGAAACACTTATGGGCGTCACTGTTTCTGGCTGAATGCTGTGCAGTGCTGGCTGTTGCTAAATTACTCTCTTTTGTAGATAATAATAAAGAGAATTATTTGTTCCATGAGCCACAGGAAGGAGCTCACTTGTATAAAGTTTGGGTATTTCATGAGCCCTGTCTCTATTCCTGTGGGACAGCATAGTTCCTGAACAAGATCTCTCCTGGAGGTCATTTGCTGATTGCCTGCCATCCGTGTAATATGGATATCTCACTATTGCTCTGTTTTTGTTTCCATCTTTCTACGTGGGTATCTAATAGCCACTTCTTTTCTGGGCATTCTTGCTGTCTGTGATTTGTGGTCAAATAAATAAGGAAAATTCTCATTTTCAATATTTATTTTAATGAAAATTCACAAACTGGGAGCTGGTAGAGACTCCGGTGTTTAACACCCTTGCTTTCCCCAACCCCACCCCAGGTCCAGGCTTCCCCGGGCCTGGTGAGCCACCTCTCTGTATGCAAACACGTAAAAGCCATGAATGCTGGAATGCAAAACTGATGGAATTTATTTCTTTTTCAGAATAATGAAAATTCTCACTTTCATTATTTATTTATTTGCTTTTTATCCTTTTTGAACACCCCCTTCCCCGACACCACTCCTCCCCACAGAGCTGGAGCTGAAAGAGAAGGAAAGGGAGCTCCACGAGGAGTTTGAGCACCTGAAGCGGGTCCACCAGGAGGGAGAAGTGCAAGGTGGTGGAAAACCACTAGGAACTGGAGGAGGAGACCAATGCTTTCAGCTGACTGAAGGCCGCGGTAGAGGCATTGCAGTCGCAGGCTTTGCAGTTTCACCTTGCAGCAGCCCCTGTGGCAGGCAAGGACAAGAATCAACACATGTGCACTTACATGTCAAGAGTGGACTTTAGACTTTCATGTGTTCAGTTGCTTGAGTTACACCTTGTGACTCTTCTCTCATAACACGGTGTGAGGACAGACTGGGAGCTGGTACAGATTCCAGTGTTTAACAGCCTTGCTTTCCTCTACCCCACCCCAGGTCCAGGTTTCCCTGGGCCTGGCGGGTCACCCCCCTCTATGCAAACACATAAAAGCCATAAATGCTGGAATGCAAAACTGATGAGGTTTCTTCTTCAGAACCAGTGTTTGTTCTCCCATTTACAGTGTCACTAGTGCTTCATGGAGGAGTTAGGTGTGAGTCTAGCAAAGACCCCAGCCCATGATACTCAGCCTAACTCCCCAATGTGGCCACAGCAGCTCATGTGGTGCCATAGGTGCAGCTGCTGGTCTAGTGGACTTGCTGCAAAATGTGTTCATAGTTACTCATTTTAATTTCCCAAACCTACCTAGAGCTCAATTTTAATAACAACTTTAAACTCTGAAACACATCTAAATTTTTATTTAGGCATCAGTGTAAAGAGAAATAATATCCTGTCCTATTATTTTCATAAGTAACACATATTCACTGATTTTTAAAAAGTAAAAAAAATCACTAAACTTTTCTAATGTATAAAGCATCCCTATAATAGAGAGTGAGAGGTGGGTATAAACTTCCCATAATGACAGTGTTTGGATTTTTTTTTCTTTAGATAAGATCTCACTATATGCCCAAGCTGGACTGCAGTGGTGGGATGATGGCTCACTGCAACCTCCACCTCCTGGGCTCAAAGGATCCTCCCATCTCATTCACCTAAGGAGCTGGGAACACAGGCGTGTGCATTTTACATTTCTTTACTGATGGAAGTAGAACATGAACAAACCCATGTCTACTGTTTTTACTATGAATGTAAATAGAATAGCAGCCCTGAAGCAGTCTGTGCCCCAGAGGTGCTACCTGTAAAAAGGGACCAATTCCATGTGTCTATGTTAAGTGCTTGACTCCAATTAAGATGGTATGCCAAGCAGGCTGGGCGCAGTGGCTCACGCCTGTAATCCTGGCACTTTGGGAGGCTAAGGCAGGCGGATCACTTGAGGCCAGGGGTTTCAGACCAGCTTTGCCAACATGGCGAAACCCCCTCTCTAATAGAAATGCATAAATTGGTTGGGTGTGGTGGTGCATGCCTGTAATCCCAGCTCCTCCGGAGACGGAGGCCCAAGAATTGCTTGAACCTGGGAGGTGGAGATTGTAGTGAGCTGAGACTGCGCCACTGCACTCCAGCCTGGGTGACAGAGTGAGACTCTATCGTGGGGAATAGGAAAAAAGAAAAAAACAAAACAAAACAAAAAAAAAACCAAAGACTTCCAAGCCAACCCTGCATATTCCGAATGGAAAGAGCGCTCAGTGCGGAACAGGTTGTTACTGCAAAGTCCTTGCTGCTGCTTTCCTGGCTGGGTCACAGGGTGAAGAGATGAAGGTGTCTGATGTATATGGATGATTTCAGAAAAAATGAGCAGCAAAGGAGCTTTTCCCCTTCAGCTGCACTCTAAAGGGGAACATTTAAGGAAGCACTAGCAGCATTGATCCTCCTATGCTTCTGTTGGTTTATAAGCCTCTGAGAATGTGAACATTGAGAATATTGCCTGGTAAAATGGGGGATTAAAAATGACCAGATGAAAGGAAGGGTATCGTTTAATGTTGATGAAGCACTATGCTGGGCCTTGGAACTACCCATAGTAATGCACCGCACTCCCGTCAAGGGGCTTGCAGTCTAGCATACTGCCTAACAGCATTAGGAAGCTGTGTTAATTGACTGCTAAATAGCTTGCTTTTCATGTCTTCTTTCTTCCTTCCCATTACCACTTCCCCCTTTCTTCCTGGCTGGCTTTATTCATTTCCAGCACCGAGTCCTGGCTTCCTTCTACCTCCCTGAGATGATGTTCTGCTCAGGGAGAGGCAGCTGGGTAAGCTGTTTGTGTCCACTGAGGCACAGCCAGGAAAACTCAGCCTTTACATGTGAGGTCCTCCACATACCAGGAGTAGGGCAGATTCTAGTGACAATTCTCCAAGTGTTTATGCCATGGCCAGGGGTGGATCCAGATTTTGTGGGTGGAAGCCTCAACTGTTTAGAAAGATGTTTTAATAAAAAGAATATGAATATAAAACTAGGTATAGGGTCTTGGAAATGGCCCTGAAGATTAAGCTTCATTAGCTTCACAAAAAGTCCAACTCTGGTTGCATCTGAAAACTGATGCTTCAATGTGGGTATCTACAAAGGAAAACTGGCATATCTAAGGCAAATATAGGCTGCAGGTGGCTCATCTCTAGGGCATGTCTGAAAGTGTATTCAGTTGGGTCAAAGTATGACCTTTAATATGGCCTCTTTCAGCTAATGTATTTCTGAATACGAGCCATGATGACCCAGCAGGTTCACTGGCTGTACAAGAAATAAGAAATCCTGGTTTAGGGGCCAATCTGGGACTCTGCAGTGGGCAGATTTGCCACTTGTCCACTGCAGCCTATGGGTTGCACCCCAGACACACTGGAAGGCCATAAATGTGACTGCTTGCCTGCCTGTGGGCCTAAGCCTTCCCAGCGTCTTTGGAGAGTCTTCACAGACTTGTATTTTCTAGGGTCTGAGCTGCCTTCCCAGGTGCCATTAGCTCTAGCAAGCCTCACCTCTTCCCCTGCTGTTTGTGTTTGGAATTTTGTCATCTTTAGCTGAGGACAAATTAATCCTTGGTGTACAAGGTGAGCTTAAAACTTGCCTTTGTTTAACAAGATACCCTTCATGGAATGTGACCCTGTCTGTAGGATCTCATTTACCCTTTTATTTTCCTTTGTCATTGTTTGTTGGCATTATTAGGGTTGTCTTATAGGCTCATGTGGGCATTTACCATCATGTCTTTCATAAACCATGTTGGTTTGGGGTAGAAATATCACCGTATGTTTTATTGGCTAAACTGGGAGTATTGAGAAAGGGACGCTGTTAGTAATTTCACTAGGTCGACAGGCATAAACCAGAACTGTCTCAGGCAAACCGGAATATATGGTCTCCTTAGTTATGGGTAATCTGGTCTAGGTGGGTTTTATAAATGTGCATACGTACTGCATATATGTTTGTGTATGTATGTATGTGGGCTCCCTGTTAAGTGGGGCTCATATTACTGGATAAGAGGCCTGAGGGAAGTGTCGCTTGCTAATCTGTTATGTTAACATGCTTTTCTAAAATTGCTTCACTTGTTAATTCATTTACTCCTTCATTCATTTATTTGTTTTTGTTCTTCTTCATTCACTATGTACTCACTTTTTTTCATTAAATTTTGCATTAAAATTTTGCATTATCTGCCAGCAGTGTATGGGGTTCCCTTTTCTCCACATCCTCACCAGCATTGCTTGTCTTTTGAATAAAAGCCATTATAACTGGGGTGAAATGATATCTCATTATGTTTTCAATTAGCATTACTCTGATTATCAATGATATTGAGGACATTTTCATATTCCTCTTTGCTACTTACATGTCTTTAAAGAAATGTCTATTCAGATTTTTGTCCATTTCAAATTGGCTTGTTAGGTATTTTCCTATAGAATTGTTTGATCTCCTTATATATCCTGGTTATTAATCGTTTGTCAGATTGGTAGTTTGCAAATATTTTCTCCCATTCTGTGGGTTGCCTGTTAACTTTGTCGATTGTTTCCTTTGCTGTGTAGAAGCTTTATAACTTTATGTGATTCCATTTGTCCATTTTTGATTTGGTTACTTGAGCTTACAGGGTACTAAAGAAATCTTTGCCCAATCTGATGTGCTAGAGAGTTTTCTTAATGTTTTCTTTTAGTATTTTATAGTTGGAAGTCTTAGATTTAAGTCTGATACATTTTGATTTGACTTTTGTATATGGTGAGAGATAGGAGTCTAGTTTCTTTCTTCTGCATATGGATATCCAGTTTTCCCAGCACCATTTATTGTAGAGACTGTCCTTTCCCCAATGTATGTTCTTGGCACCTTGTCAGAAATGAGTTCACTGTAGATGTATGAGTTTGTTTCTGGAGTCTCTATTCCATTGGTCTATGGGTTTTTTATTTTAGTGCCATGCTGTTTGGTTACTATAGCTCTGTAATACAATGTGAGGTCAGGTAACGTGATTCTTCTAGTTTTGTTCTTTTTGCTCAGGATGACTTTGGCTATTCTGGGTCTTTTATGGTACCATACAAATTTTAAGACTTTTTTTTCTCCCGTGAAGACTGTCATTGGTATGGTGATAGAGATTGCATTTAATCTGTACTTCGCTTTAGGTAACAGGGGCATTTTAGCAATATTGATTCTTACAATCCATGAATATAGAATATCTTTCCATTTTTTGTGTCCTCTTCAACTTACTGCATCAGTATTTTATAGTTTTTATTGTAGAAATCTTTCTTGTTTGGCTAATTCATAGATATTTTATTTGTAGCTGTTATAAATGGGATTGCTTTGTTGATTTCTTTTTCAAATGGTTTGCTGTTGTCATAAAGAAGTGTTGCTGATTTTTGTTTGTTGATTTTATATCCTGCAACTTCTCTGAATTTAAGTTCTAAGAGCCTTTTTGGTAGTGTCTTAAGTTTTTCTAAATATAAGATTATTTCACTTGGAAAGAAAGACAATTTGACTTCTTCCTTTCTAACCTAGATGCCCTTTATGTCTTTCTCTTATCTGATTGCTTTAGCTAGGATTTCAGGTCCAATGTTGAATAACAGTGGTGAAAGTGGACATTCTTTCGTGTTCCAGACCTTAGAGGAAAGACTTTCAGTTTTTTCCCATTCAGTATGATATTAGTTGTGGGTCTGTTATATATGGCTTTTATTGTGATGTGGTATGTTTTTTATATACCCAAGTCTTTTAGGGTTTTTAATCACAAAAAAGTGTGGTATTTTTTCAAATGCTTTTCAACATCAATTGAAATGATCATGTTTTTTGTCCTTCTTTCTGTTGATATGATGTGTCACGTTGATTGTGTCTCTTGAACCATCCTTGCATTCCTGGCATAAATCTCACTTGGTCATGATGAATGATGTTTTCAATGTGTTGTTGAAATTTGTTTTGCTAATATTTTAAGTTCTGCATCAGTTTTCATCAGGGATATCGATGCGTAGTTTTCTCATTTATTTATTTTGATGTGTCTTTGCTTGGTTTTGGTATCAGGGTAATATTGGCCCTGTAGGATAAATCTGGAAGCATTCCCTCCTACTCCATATTTCAAAATAGTTTGAATAGAAATGATATTAGTTCTTCTTTAAATGTTGGGTAAAATGTAGCATAGAAGCCATCAGATCCTGGGCTTTTATTTGCTGAAATACTTTTCAATAAGTCTTTAATGTCATTACTTGTTATTGTTCTATTCAGGATTTAGATTTCTTCATGATTCAATCTTGGTATGTTACGTGTTTCTAGGAATTTATGGATTTCTCCTGGGTTTTCCACTTTATTGTTCATTATGATAGCCTCTAATGATCCTTTGAATTTCTGCAGTATGAGTTGTAATGTTTCTTTTTTCATCTCTGATTTTATTCATTTGGATCTTCTCTCTTTTTTCTCAGTCTGGCTAAATGTTTGTTGCTTACATAAATCTTTTTGAAAAACCTACTTTTAGTTTCATTGATCTTTCTTATTTCTTTATTTCAATTTCATCTATTTCTGCTCTGATCTTTTATTTCCTTTCTTCTGCTAATTTAGGATTTCGTTTGGTCTTGTTTTTCTAGTTTTTAAAAATTCATTGGTAGGTTATTTGAGGTTTTTCTATTTTCTTGATGTAGATGCTTATAGCTGTAAGCTTTCCTCTTAGTACTGCTTTCATTGTATTCCATAGGTTTTAGTAAGTTGTGTTTCCATCAGCATTTGTTTCAACAAATTTTTAACATTCCTTAATTTCTTCATTGACCCAGTGGATGTTCAGGAGCATATTTTTTAATTTCCATGTGTTTTAGTTTCCAAAATTCTTCTTGTTATTTATAGTTTTATTCCATTGCGGTTAGAGAAGGCATTTGATATAATTTCAATAATTTTGACTTTTTTAAAGACTTGATTTGTGGCGTAACGTATAGTCTATCCTTGGGAATGAAACATGTGGTCTGGACAAGAATGTGTAGTCTGCAGCCATGGGATGAAATGTTCTGTAAATATGAATGAGGTCCATTTGGTCTATAGTGCAGATTCAGTCCAATGTTACTTTGTTGATTTTCTGTCTTCATGATGTGTCCAGTTCTGAAATTAGGGTGTTGGAGTCATAGTGTTGGAGTTATAGTATTTGAAAGTTTGCCATTAAGCATCCTTTTCAATCTCTGGAAGATATGTACACACTTATACCTCATTAATTCCAAACATTATTTTAGAAACAAGGGGATATAATTCTATATGGGGAGACTTAAAGAATGCTATCCATTCAAATACTTTGCTCTCAACACTTTGTATCAGATGTTGCCATCAGGCCATGCTGGAATCATACGGTTAATTCTCAACTTGTTTCCGTCATGATTTTACTTAGAAACATCTCATGTAATAACTGAGATAGCTATGTAATTGGAAATTCAGACACTTAAGCTTTTTAAATAATAGAGAACTTTATAGTTTTTGAAATAGTGCTTGTAAAAATCATTAGTGTTTTATAACATGAGGAAAAATCACAAACTAGAAACTGCAAGATTCAGTAAAAAAATAAAGCCCTCAAGCTATTCTCATCAAATGGAGTCAAAAATTGTGGAGCTTTCTTGTTTTTATAAAACAATTTTGTTAAATACTAAATTTACCAAAATTTAATATTGTCATTTTACAGATGGATTGAAACAATGAAGTGAAAGTGTTAACACTGCACATTTTTACAGTCCATAATATTTTCTTGTAACTTGAGATTTGCATTTTTACTTTATCATTTCCTGAATCTTGAAACACATCTTGATAATACTACAGATTTCTCAGCTGTGTGACTATTTAAGTGAATATTATGCAGTCCAGTTTTAAGTACAGAGGTGATGCCTTTATTTAGGTAATTTATCCTAAAATTTGCACCTTTAAAGATAAAAAGCAGAAAAAATTGTTAACTATGTACATCAGACTATGCTATCAAACACTGTAATATATTACTCCTATCTAACTGTATTTTTGTGCTTATTAACCAACCTCTCTCCATCCAACCATCCTACTATCCTTGCCAGCCTTGCTAACCGCTATTCTACTCTCTTCCTCCATTATATAACTTAAATAAAAGTATGAAATAATTAAAGCAATGCATGAGATTTAGTAACCTTTTGAATGTGTGCATATGGGTGTCCATTGTATAACATTTTTGTTTGTAATATTTCATAATACAAATACATTTAACTTAAGAAAAAGAAAGGCCTACCCAAGAGATATCAACACTGGCATTCTTATATCTACCTGTTGTATTTCACTGTCTGTAGCTGATGTAGGCTGTCATAGTTAAGCTAGATTCAAAGTTGAGTTCTCATTGGGACAGTTTCTATCGCCGGAAAAGAAAAATATATAGACAACACAAACACTTAGAAATAAAATTTATCATTGATAAGGGAATATGAAAGATAGTCATTGGAATAAAGCTGAATATTTTACAGTGATGTAAATTTATTCACTTTTCTTAAGAAGGACAATAACTTAGTCACCCCACTCAGATTACCTCCAGACTCTATTTGTTTGAAGCACCACGTCTGCCTTGAGGCAATATGAAAAAAAGCATGCATCAAGTTTGTAAATATTTCATAGCTACCGTTCTTCATTTCAGTATCATACAACTTTTTCCAAACTATATATTTTTTCCAAGCTGTTTTAAAAGTCTTTTTTTTTTTGAGGCTGAGGAGTGTTGAAATAAACTTTAAAGACATTTTAGTGACATTCAAGAGTAACTGTTGAAGTACTTCCTTCTAGGCGAAGAAAACATAAAAGCATTTTTAGAATTCCATACATATTGAAGTCACTAGAGCATTTTAATACACATTTCTATTAAAATATAGCTGCCTATAACTGCTCTTTAATCAAATTTAGGAGTTTCTAATATAGAAGACAGCACGAACGTAAGAATCTTATGTATGAACATTTGGATCCTGATTTTGAAAAATCACTAAAATGTAATCTTATATTAATTTTTTAATATTGTCTAGAAAGTACCATTGAAATATTAGAATTATAAGATCAGTAGCTTCATTATTGAGTCACAGTAAGCAGATTAAAATTTGTCAATTGTAAAAGATGATCAGAGGAAATTTCTTGAGTTCTCTGACCAATCCGGGCAAGCACAGATGGGGCAGCCCTGAGCAGACTCCACCCTGTGGAACATCATTCTGACTTACTATGGGTGTGGCTGCTCTAGCTGTACTGGGTCCCATTGGAAGGAACCTGATCTAAAGAGATCTATCCAGGCCAGATTCTCTGTTTTTAATACCCTGTGTTAATAAAGTAAAGCAAATACAATGGTCTCTGGCATGGCTAGCTCTAGGTAAAACTGCAAAGTAGGCAAGCTGTCTTCACCTTCCTTTCTGAAATTTCTGTGCCCTTGAAGTATCCAGGACCTCACTTGGTAGCCTCATCGCCCAGCTCTCCCTTCACTGCCCTCTCCAACTTTTCATTCTTAGAAAATCTCATTGTCCCTTGCATGCCTTCCTAGAGAGCTAAGTATTAACAGGAAAATAAATAAATCAAGGCAAGAGTGGTTATTGTGTTACTCCATTTTGATAAAGAAGGCATTTAGAAATTCTGTATTTCTTTTTTTTTTTTTTGAGACAGAGTATCACTCCTGTTGCCCAGGCTGGAGTGCAATGGTATGATCTCGGCTCACTGCAACCTCTGCCGCCCAGGTTCAAGCGATTCTCCTGCCTCAGCTTCCTGAGTAGCTGGGATTACAGGTGTCCGCCACCACGCGTGGCTAATTTTTGTATTTTTGTGGAGACGGGGTTTCACCATGTTGGCCAAGCTGTCCTCAAACTGCTGACCTCAGGTGATCCGCCTGTCTCGGCCTCCCAAAGTGCTGAGATTACAGGTGTGAGCCACTGCGCCCGGCCTAGAAATTCTATATTTCAAAAAATAAATTACTAATTAAAGTGGAAGAGAACTGGCATTGGTCAGCTGACCAAAGGAAAACATATTTTGAGGGCAGAACTTTTTCTAGCAGCCATCCTGCTCAGGCCCTATATGGATTATACAAAACCTCACACATTACAGTAGTTTGCAAAATCCATTTTAGAAGATTATGGGTTATGAAACCAAGAAGAGGGGAACTGTTTTCTTTGCGTATTCCCTTATCAGTGATAAATTTTTGTCTCTAAATGTTTATGTATTTTATTTTTCTAGTGATAGAAATTGTCCCATTGAGGACTCAGGTTTGAATCTAGTTATAACCATAACAGCCTATATCATTTTCAGACAGTGAGATACTATGGGTAGATATAAGAATGCCATTGTTGATATCTCTTGGGCATTTCTTTTCTAAGTTAAAGATATTTGTATCATGAAACATTACCAGGAGCAAAAGTGTTATTTACTTGCATCACATTTTCCTATAAATTCAGAACTTTATGTACTTAGCATGTTTTCAGATTAGGCTAACTTTTATTGAGGACCTGGATGTATTTTTGTATTATGTCCTAAAGGTATTTTTGGTCTTCACATTATAATATACTGGTAACTAACGAAGTATAATACAAAAGAACTTTGTTTTCATAATGATATTCAATTTCTTCATATCATTTATGGTTTGCTGGAGAAGGTGGGTCTACTATGCCCTTGAAAAAAAATTCCCACATCCTAATTAACATATTTAAATTTGGGAGTTAAAATTTTTTGGCCTAAATTCATTGATCATAATTTCAAATAGTAAGTACAGTTAGTATCATGACACTGAACATTTGAAATACAAAATGTAAGGTTGCTCAAGAATAATTGGGCCCATATATCTTAATATAAAAGATAAAGCCATAAACAGAAGTTTGCTGAAGAAATATTTCTCTTTAAAATGATGAATTGCGGTACTTTCAGTCTCTGCTAATATCCCTAGGTACTTAAAAAACATGTAGAGCTGTTTGCAGGGTTTTATCTTGAGTGATGTGGGAAAACACATCATTGAATATTCATGAATGTACACTGAACACCTAGAACTTTGGTAAGAGAAGAGTTGAGGATCTCTAGTAGGCACGGTAATGGCTCTGAAAGTGTGCACAGTGTAATCCTGAGAACATGTAAATATGTTACCTTGTAGATATTTTAAGGAAAAGGCTTAAAATGAGAGGTTATCCTGGATTATTCAGGTGATTCAGTGTAATCTCAAGCTCATTAAAAGTGAAAGATGCATAAAAGTCAGAGTCTGAGAAGGAGATGTGACGGCAGAAGCAAGGTCACGTGATAGGTGTGAAGGATACTATCTGGTTGTGCTAGCTTTGAAAATGGAGGAAGGGGGAACCCAAGTCAAAGAACGTGGCTGGGTTCTAGAATCTATAAAAGGCCAAGAAATGGGTTCTCTCTTAGAGACTATGGAAAGAAACACAGTACTGTAGATACTGACTTTAGGCCAGTGAGACCTCGTCAGGCTACTGACCTCCATCTCTCTAAGGTAACAAATTTGTGTTGTGGAAATTTGTTATAGGAACAATACAAATCTGATACAAAATCTGAAAGAAATCCACACTCTTAATTTTGAAAGGAATTCAAAATTTAAACTTTTTGAAGGGATTTCCTTTTTGGAGAGCAAAAATAGGCTGGTGTGGTGGCTCATGCTTGTAATCCTAGTGCTTTGGGAGGCTGAGGCGGGAAGAGCAGTTGAGTCCAGGAGTTTGAGTCCAGCCTGGGCAACATAGTGAGACCCTATCTTTAATATTAATAACAATGAGTGAATTAAAAATCGGGGGCAATGACAAATGACACAAGGGGAAGTAGAGGGCTTTTGGAGGTGGAGAGTAGTGATACAAATAAAGACCCCACAGAGAGCAGAAGCATCTCAAAATCGAACAGAATGCAGTGAAATAGCTGTAGCATAAATTAGAGCTAGAAAAGAGTGAGGACCCTGGGAAAATAATCAGGACCTAGATTAAAAGATGCTTTATGAACTACAAAAGGGTTTTGAATTAGCAACATCTTAAACATGAGAGTTACATGATTTTTAAAATACTAGTCTTGCTGTAGTGTGGATAATGAATTGACCTGGAATAGTACTGGAGGCAAAGACACAAGTTAGAAGGCTATGGACATAATTTAGATTTTACCTTAAGGTTGTAGGACAGCAATGGTGAGGATAAAAGTTTGTGGATTTGAGAAATGTGGACTATGCTGGCAAGTGAAGGAAGATGAGAGAGTCAAGTATAATACAAAGGTTTCTTGCTTGAGCAACTAAATGTGTCAGTTACTGAAACATTGCACAAAGAAAGGATGAGTTTTGTGAAAGAAAAGTTCAGTTTTGGAAATGCAGTATTCAACATGTGCTAGAGACATTTAAATGGAGGGAAACATTGGAAACTTGGGTTTAGACCTATAGGGAGTGAGTTTTAGGCTTGTGATATAGATGTGAGAATTCTTAGTACATAGATGATGGTTGAATTTCAGAAAATGAAAAGTTAGCCTGTGTGTATTAACATCTAGAATGCTGTGAAATGACATTTACAGGATGGGTGGAAGAAGATAAAGAGCAGTGTGCTGGTAAACAAAGCTGATTCGTAGATGTGTAACATTTGCTAGTTTGTATGAGATAAACATTCCTATCATGACTTATTTTTGAGCTGCCAGTGTTACATCATAGTGCAGTTGGGAAGAGGCTCACACACTTGGCTCTCTTGAATCAGTGCAAGCTGTTTGCATTATAGAACTAGGGAATTCAGGAGAAAGAGGCATCACCAGTGAGGAATTAAAAACAAAGCGTAAGAAAACCATTAGGGGACTTTGATTATGAAAAGAGGAAAGAGATGGGGAGTGCGTGGTTGCTTTTCTGTTTTGAGTTGGAGGAAGAACTGAATATATTTAAATGCTAATGATAAGTACCGGTAGAGAGGAGAAGGAATAGTTGAAAAATAACCTTTAAGGAGTGATTGATTATGTATAGGGGGAATTGATGGAAATAGGATCACAAGCACAAAATGGAAGGCTTGGAAACAAAAAGGTAAGCTCTTCTAACAGTGGGGAGACAGGAAGAGAAAAATGCAGATGCCGATGGGTTTGTATATTTGTTGCAAGAACTTAAAGAATTTATTCTATGATATTTTGCCTATTTTTCAGCATAATAAGGTAAAATTTGAGACTAAGAGAAGGTGATGAAGATTGGAACTTTAAAAAAGATTCTAAATAGGAAATAAGAGTTGCTGGGAAGTGTTCCTTTTGTGAGGTCAATGGCTATAAACTTATAGAGGCACAAGTCCATCTGATAGTAAAATTTTCTCTAGTTGCTCTTAGATTGCTGAAGTAGACAGAAAACAGGCAGCTAAATTTCAACAGCATTGGCCTCTGTGAAATGGAATGCCAGGTGCCCAGTGGGGCACAGAAGTACAGGCAATTGATCAGAGACAGCTTAAAGAGATGGGTGTGAAATCTGTTGTATAGGGAAAGAAGTAAAGATAAATAAAGGCTGCTAAAGGTAGAGGAAGTAGGTAGACTAAAAGAGGTTGTTAGGTAAATAAAATACCACAACATGGGAATAACTGATTAAGAATACTGGTAGCTCAAGGCTGTAATTCTAGCACTTTGGGAGGCTGAGACAGGCAGATCACTTGAGCTCAGGAGTTTAAAACCAGCCTAGCCAACATGGTGAAACCCTGTCTCCACTAAGAATACAAAAAAAATAGTGGGATGTGGTGGTGGGCGCCTGTAATTCCAGCTACTTGGGAGGCTGAGACAGAAGAATCACTTGAACCTGGGAGGCGGAGGTTTGCAGTGAGCCAAGACCCTAACACTGCACTTCAGCCTGGGTGACAGAGCAAGACTCTGTCTCAAAAAATAAAAATAAAAAAATAAAAGAATACTGGGAAAAACGTAAATTGTGGTCACAGTGGCCCAGGTCTAGATCTCAGAGGTAGAGTTCACTTGCAAGATAAAACTAGTGGGTGACTATGTGAGTAAATCACTGAGTGGAGTACAGTTGAAAATAATAGGCAGTGAAGTAACAGGACTATGAAGTCAGAAATAGATATTGGTCGTTAATTTGTATATGGAAGTCACTGATGATGCTGCTGGAAATTAGCTAAAGAGAAAGACATTAGTTTTCAATGAATGGACCATAGTTCAAGGGAGGATAAAGGATGTTATATGAGTAATATGAGTCTAAAAGTAATAAGCATTGAGCTTGGGTTGAGGGAGGAATAATTCTTTGGAAGTAGCCATCATTCTGTTGTGTGTGGGGAAGGAAAACTCCAAGGCAATTAGTATTTCCATGGTGCGAGTCAGATGCTGGTTAAATCTACAAAGTGAAGGTGATACCTGCAGAAGTAGGAACCTAACTGTTATTGCCTGAAATGTCAATCTTAGAATTTTTAGAATTTTCTTAGAAATTTTCTCCTTGTCTGAAGAGTTATAATTTTAGGTTTGGAACAATCTCAATGGATATATTTTTATAACTTAAAAATGCACTTTAGACTGGGTGTGGTGGCTCACACTTGTAATCCCAGCACTTTGGGAGGCCGAGGCAGGCGGATCACGAGGTCAAGAGATTGAGACCACCCTGGCCAACATGGTGAAACCTTGTCTCTAGTAAAAATACAAAAATTAGCTGGGCGTGGTGGTGCACGCCTGTAGTTCCAGCTACTTGGGTGGCTGAGGCAGGAGAATCGCTTGAAGCCGGGAGGCAGAGGTTGCAGTGAGCTGAGACTGCACCACTGCACTCCAGCCTTGGCAAGAGAGCGAGACTCTGTCTCAAAAAAAAAAAAATGCACTCTATATGGAGGAGGAATACATATTCACTCTGCTGTTTTTGTGGTGCAAGGCTTTGGGAGGAAGAGCAGAGTTCAAAGGTAATTGGCACTTGTGTGGAAAAAGGAGGAATGCTACAGAAGGAGGCATAGGAATTGCTAAAGAACATATTTAGCTATAATACAACTTTACTTTTAAACTCAGACTTCTGGGAATGAGCAGAGACACTCAAGGACTGCATGCTCTCTCTCTGGTTATTTCCAAATGACTAAATGGCCTTCTGTGCCTTGTAGCATTTATTATCTCCACTTTTAGTTGGCTATTAAATGGATACATTGTTTTTATTAAAGCTATAATTTGCTTGTGTCTTCAAAAATATATTTTGCCATTTTGTTATTGCTTATTATCACTGCCCTGCAGAAAACCTGACACGTATATTAACACCAAATAAATTCATAATGAACAAAGCTGTTAGAAAAGTTAGTAAGTTAATAATATTGAGTGCAAAAGGCATTGTCTTAAAAAAGCATTTCTTTGAGAAGATATTCAATGCATTTATTCATCTATTTAAAGTTTACGGGTTCCTTAATTGAATACTTGATATTGGAGAAAAAATGAACTATTAAGTCAAAATAATTATGTAAACAAGCTCTTATCTTCCGCCTGATGAAAATGATTTTCAGAACGCCTTGGATTTTGTGAATGCAGATGGCACTTCAGATCATTCCTACATAAGGTAGTTTATAAGGTGTGCATATCTTGTGTGTTTTATGATAGTTCATAAAATTTCACTAGTAATGGGAATAACCCAGATACATAGGGAAGCATGCCATGTTGCACAGGTATGTAGGATTATGTGTGTGGTGGCGCCCGTTCATAATACCAGGTCTGTTGCTTTGATGACGCCACAAAAGGGGAAAATGTGGAATGTGCTCAGGAAACATGAACTTAAAGAGATATACATTTAAAGCACATTGTTTAAAAATAGATTTATGTTTTATCAATATTAAAAAGCACTAGAAAAAATTATTTACCCCTGAAAAATTATGCTGTCATGGTTTGGGGGCAGTATTTAATCATTAATTGATTTTCATATTTTAGACTTTAAAGCCAGTCCTAAGTTTATAAGAATTTCATAAGTTAAAGCACATACAGTGCTCAGAAGGGTGTCTCATACATAGAAGCAGTCGATTCATGTTAGATGTTGTTGTTATTGTGATTATTTGTACATGAAACAATTCATAGAAACTTTTGCCTCATGGTATCACTGAATGTCGAACAATGGGAAAGTTAATAATAATGTAAAAAATCTTCAGTATTTTCTTATAACGAGAGCAATACTATCATCCTTGCACGTTGGCCTTTGACCTATTGAGTTTTCATTTTCACTTGCCTTCCTAATGCATATGTCTTTCTACCCAAATAACATAGTAAACCCCTTAAAGAAAAAGTATTCTTTATTCCTAGTTCTGAACTCAATATCGTCTTTAAAATACTATATATGTGAAGCTCAAAACACTTAACACTATTATCAATATTTGGTTGGCTAGGGATCCCATATAAAGAGAAATCTACAAGAGGTAAGCCCTGAAGTATTTGCTATCATTTAAAAATACATATTAAGGAAATGTTGTATTTACTTTGATTTTTAGAGGCATAATATTGTAAGTTTTAAGATCTTGTCATTTACTTCCTTTTGTTAGAGCAGTCATCTGTAGAGTGTCTTTTATGCCTTTGAAATATGTTTTAAACCACTCCCTTTGATTATCCTTTCAAATAGATCAGGGTTCTTAGTTGCAAATAACAAAATTTATTCTGACTACATTAAATAGAAAATTTAATGTTAAATATTATTTTCATTAAATGGAAAATAAATTTGTTAAATGCACTTTAGATCCCTCACAGCAGTAGTGTGAGCAGTGGTGTCTTGATATTTTCTCTGGAATGACGCAATTATTTTCAATAAGAATAATGAAATACTAATTTTGGCCTGAAAAATGCATATAGTGAAAACTGTTTTTTGTGTTTTATTTTACTTTAAGTTCTGGGATACATGTGCAGAACGCGCAGGTTTGTTATGTAGGTATACGTGTGCCATGATGGTTTGCTGCACCTATCAACCTGTCATCTAGGTTTTAAGCTGCGCATGCATTACGTATTTGTCCTAATGCTCGCCCTCCCCTTGACCCCCACCCCCCAACAGGCCCCAGTGTGTGATGCTTCCATCCCTGTGTTCATGTGTTCTCATCGTTCAGCTCCCACTTATGAGTGAGAACATGCAGTGTTTGGTTTTCTGTTTCTGTGTTAGTTTGCTGAGAATGATGGTTTCTAGCTTCATCCATGTTCCTGCAAAGGACAGGAACTCATTCTTCTTTATGGCTGCATAGTATTCCATGGTGTATATGTGCCACATTTTCTTTATCGAGTCTATCATTGATGGGCATTTGGTTTGTTTCCAAGTCTTTGCTATTGTAAGTAGTGCTGCAATAAACATAGTTGTGCATGTGTCTTTATAGTAGATTGGTTTATAATCCTTTGTGTATATACCCAGTAATGGGATTGGTGGGTCAAATGGTATTTCTGGTTCTAGATCCTTGAGGAATCACCACGCTGTCTTCCACTCAGAAGCTAAGCAGGTTTGGGCATGGGTAGTACTTGGATGGGAAAAAACTTTGTTTTCTTGTACTTTGAATATATGACCATGCCAGTAAAATTTTTAAAAAATGAAAATTTAAAAATACATATTGCAATACAAAAAGGAAAAAGCTACAGATTGATACTTTTTAAAGACATGAATCATTTCTTTAAATGTTGAAAATTTATACCTGTATATTAATATGTCATAATAATGAATAATGACATTACAATTTCTGTTTTCAGGAATGAACTTTGGAGAACTTGTCAATGACTTCAAAATAGATTTTCCTTGCATATTCATATTTAAAAATGAATATATACATTTAATACATTTAAGTAGCATATCAGATTTGTTAATCTATCATCACTCATAGTTGATTAAAAACACATATTTTATTTTATCACAGATTCGGGGGTAGATGCGCAGGTTGGTTACATGGGTATGTTTAGTAATGTTGGGGTTTACTTCTAGTGAATGCATCACCCAAATAGTGAATATTGTATCCAATAAGTAGTTTTTAGCACTCACCCTACCCCGCTTGACAGTCCTCAATATATATTGTTTCTATCTTTATGTCCATCTGTACTCATTGTTTAGCTCCCACTTATAAGTGGGAACATGTGGCATTTGATTTTATGTTTTTGTGTTATTTCACTTAGGATAATGGCTTCCAGCTGCATCCATGTTGCTGCAAAGGACATGATTTCATTCTTTTTTTATGGCTGCATAATATTCTATGGTGTATATATGCCAAATTTTCTTTTTCCAACCCACGATTGATGGACATGTAGGTTGATTCCGTGACTTTGCTAGTGTGAATAGCGCAACAGTTAACAAGCTATTGTAGGTTAGTGTATGATAAAATGATTTTTTTTCCTTTGGATAGATATCCATTGGTGGGATTGCTAGGTTGAATGGTAGTTCTGTCTTTAGATCTTTGATAAATTTCCATACTGTTGCCCATAGGGATTTTACTAATTATATTCCCACTAGCAGCATATAAGTGCTCCCTTTTCTCTGCATCCTTGCCACTATCTGTTCTGACTTCTTAATAGCCATTCTAATTAGTGTGAGATGGTATCTCATGGTTTTAATTTGCATTTATTGGATTTGTGACGTTGAACATTTTTTCATGTTCGTTGGTTGCTTGTAGGATTTCTTTTGAGGAGTGTGAGTTCGTATTCTTTGCCCAAAGAAGCACTTGCTTTGATCAAGGAGTGATGGGAAGAGATTCTGTTGGGATGTACTGAGGTCTTTGCGTGAGAGGAGGGGAAGGAGGTCCTCTCCTGTGCAGGCTGGAACATGATCCACTTCCTTATTATGTCCTTGTTGCAGGGTTCACAACTTTCAGTTCATATAAACTTGGTCCTATGGTTTCCAGCCACAGTGGTATGGTGGACCACAGATTTGCCCCTTTGGTGGCTTCCATCAAACGGGCTGAATGCAGGGTCTCCTCCAGTTCAGAGCAGACAACTCTGTGTCTTGTCTGTCTTCGATGCTAGGACACAGCTGCTCTGTGTAGAGAGGAGATGCTGAGCCCTGTCCCTCATGCAAGCCCAAGCAGCGTGGGCTCACTTTCAGTGAGGGTGGAGCCACTGTGGAAAGCAGGAAAAACACTTTTTCCAAGTGCATATGCGCCAGCCCCCAATGGTAAGAACTGCTGTTGCGTCTGTAACGGTGGGACGGGGAAGGATGGGATGAGATGACACCCTGTCTGTGATTGTACGTGGCCGTCAGTGCCGCCCCCTTCAGTGATTGGTGCCACGCCCCCGTTTCCTTTGTCCCAAGGAGGGGTTTGGCACACTGTGTTCCATCTCCCTTAGGGCAAAAAGCCTTTTTAATTTTCAGAGTTTCTTTCACATGGAGTGAGAGATACACAAACAATGTGTACATAGTATATATATTTAAGTATGCAGTTTTAGAGCTTTGGGACCTGACATGGTGCAAGCTGCTTAAGATCATTGACCACTTCTGGTATACTGCCCACAATTCAGGTGCTGAATTTTTATAGAGAAAAATAAACCTGGGGTTCATGGACCCAGGGGGGTTTCATGTTTAAATAAGATACATTATTGATAAAACATTCTTTGTAAATTTTATGTTACATTTTTGGTGCTTGAAACAGATTAAACTGTGTCCATTACTGAATGTTAAAATTACTTTATGGTTTAATCTGACAAGGAGGTCAGATGAGGTAGGTTCAAATCCTTTTTGTTGCTTCACATAATTGTTACATAATCAAGGACAAATCACTTGATCCCTGTGAGCCTCTTCTGCAAAACAGGGGTTTTCATGATCGATTGAGCTTTATTGAAAGTACTTAACCCAGTATTGGTGTAGGATGCAGGTAACACAAAGTAAGTAAGAGTTGATTTGCTGGCTTGTTTTACTTGTTTGTATACTTAAGAGCAAAATATTAGAAATTTTGATGCTGATATCATGATCACAGTAAGCAGAAACATTGAAAAGAGAACTCAACATACTACACTAATGCTTAAACATACTAACACACACCCAGAGAAGCTGGAAAGTTCTAGCCTGCACACCTGCATGCTAAGGGGTTGCCTGTGGGTTAACGTATTGATTTACTATGTGATAGGACTCTGTTAAACTGACAGCCTCTTGTCTGTCAGCAGTGTGCTTGAAGTCTCTGGTGCCACTGGAGAACTGTATCCACCCCAGAAGAAAAGCCACTCTATTAGGAGACACATTTGTTACAAACGCCTTCAGATTAGAGCCAAACACAAATTTATAAATGCAACAAACAATCACATATCTTAAAGATTTGCTTGCGTGTTTGGATGATATAAAAATTAATTGATTAAACAAAGGCAAAATGTTTTTAATCATACCTGACCAGCATCTATCTGACTTCAAAAGCATTTGTACGTTATTCTTGCCTTTTGGAATTTTGGACTCTAAAAGAAAGTCAGTGTGCCTATAATGTTAATTTTTGAAATTTAGAAAGCTTGGACTGTCAAACGTGGTTCAGAATATTTTATATCACAATTGTAGGGTAGCAATAATTTGCACATTCCAACTTTATTATTAAGTATGAAATAAAACTTATAGCATAATGCTTTATCCAGTTTTAGACTGCTATGTGAAGGTGGGATGGCTATCTTTCAATTTCCATTTTTAAAAAATTCAGCCAATTTATAGCTGTTCAAGTATAACACTTCTCACAAGAAGCTTTCCTTGGTGAGTGGCTAAATACATAGAAGTGTGAATGACTAATAATGCATATCAAAAAGTATCAAACAAAAAATGTTCCTTCAGTCTTTAATTATTGCTAGATAAAGATACATATTTAGCATTAAACTAAGTATACAATACAGTGTCAGCTTTTTAAAAGCTTTTTTGTTTGAATTTCTGTCCAAGTTTCCCTCTGGGAATGCTAAAGACCCTTGGCCCGTGTTTTGTACCAGATTTCCTTTTTTCTTTTCTTCTTTTTCTTTTCTTTTCTGTTTTCTTTTTATCTTTTTCTTTCCTTTTCTTTTTGAACTTCTGACCTTGTTCTTCCAATAATTATTGGAACTGTGCTGTCAACTGCATTTCCTGGTAAATCTCAGAAAATACACTGATTAACAAATTAAGGACATAAAAACCCAAGGCTTAGCAATGTGACTCCAAAATAAGCCTTAAGGCAGCTTTGAGGGACAAGAGGTAATGCGAGTTAATTTAACAACTGGACCTTTCAACTAGAGCCCCTACCTGTGGTTTCTTCAGTGGATTGAGTTTCTTCACAGCATATCAATATCAGAGTGGTTCCACTATGGTGGCTCATGGGTCCAAGCCTGAGTGCTCCAGTGGGCAGAGCAAAAGCAGTGCTATTTTTAATGATCTAGCTTCTGAAGGCACGCAGTGTCACTTTTGTTCCTTTATGTCTGTTCATTACTACTGAGCCACCAAGGCCAGTTCAGATTCAAAGATCAGAAGGATATGGCAACACCACCTGTTAGTGGGATGAGATGACAAAAAAATAATGGATACATTTTAAAACTGCCACAGGCAAAATGTATATCAGGAAATGGTCATAACACATGGTTAACTTGCATTATCAATATTGGGATTTGAGTAAGAAGATAAACATGGCATTGCAGCATAGATATCCAGGTTGGAATACACGGAGGTAACCTTGCAATTAATTCGTCATTGATCAGATTCTTACAGATGGGAATGCTGCAAGTCAGAAAATAGTTCAAAGAAGAAGATAAGACACCCTGAATATGGATAAATGATTGGATCTATCTGTGAACACAGTTCTGAGGGTTGTTGAGTTTTAAACATGAAACAGAGTTTCACAGACCTTTGAGTAAAATAAGAAAGGTGGAAGAATTGACTCCTTATTCAACCAACGTGGGGTAGACCAGCTGCCTTCCAAAGAAACCTGCCCTAGAACAGTCATGTTTGAGTTACAACGAGCAATTTAGTGACCACCGTGAAATTTCGTTAATGTGAGTCAGTTATGTGGGTTGTGTCAATTTTTGTTTATCATTTTCAGTTTTATAAATGTGTAAGAGCTTAAACTTACCAGGTTTATGTCTATACACTTTAAATTTGTCATTAAAGAGTTGAGGGACCCAGTATGGGCAACAAAGGGAGACCTTCTCTCTACCAATAAACAAACAAACCAGGCATGCTGGTCCATGCCTGTAGTCTCAGCTACTCAGGAGGCTGAGGTGGGAGGATTGCTTGAGCCCAGGAGGTTGAGGCTGCAGTGAGCTGTGATCATGCCATTGCACTCCAGCCTGGGTGACAAAACGAGACCTTGTCTCAGAAGAAGAAGAAGAAAAAAAAAGATTTGAGGATTACCTATACTTAACCTGAATACAAGAGAGATGAGTCATTAAAGCAAACACTGGTACCTGTGTGAAAATATCATTAAGAAAGGAATGACAACTGCCTTCTTTATGCACAAGGAAAAAAGTAAAAAGGTATTAGGTCATAAAATTTTAGCTAGGCTATGTAATAAATGTTTTCTAACTTTAAGGAGGTGTTTATTTAAACCATGCCAACAGAATAAAAGCATTTAAAAAACATCTCCAAAGCAGTAAAATCTCCATTGATACAAATAGTAAACACTATGCATTAATATTTAAAACCCATAATAGAAATGATGTGATCAGAAATTTCATGATAGAGATTTATTTAGATTAATGAGAAAAAGTTCTCTATAATAACTTGGGTTGTTCTTGCTGTTCAACTTCAGTCGCTTTTAAGGTTGCTTTCTATTAAAAATAAGTTAATAGTTCTTATATACACTGTACTGCATATTTCCCTGTAATGTTTCTTACTAAAAATTACCAGATCTGATGGATTTACCCTAAAACACCTGCAGTTTGCCGGGATATTGAAATCAATCTTAAAATCTTAATGAAACACTGTGACTTAATACAGTGCTGAACTTCCTAGGTTTGATATGCACCACAGAAAAGATGGTGATGATGATAAAAAGTGAAATTGTCATGGGTTCTGCAAAGAAGCCCTGTAACCTGGACAGATGTGTAAAGAAATCTGCTTTCTTAAGTCACACATCTAATGCTACTTATTTTTAAAAAATCATTTGGGAAAGTCTTTACATGATAGCAAAAACTACACAGTCTTGAAAAAAATCTCCTGAATCTTTAATTTTAAAATACCCCAAATGTTTTTATAAGCATAAGAATTTTTAATGACTGTCATTTTATAATGTAGAGGTATTTAGTTTTTCAGAATGGAATGGGAGAATATAATTATGTTTAGTTACTATGGCACCTTTGATTGTTAATACAGGTTGTTTGATAATATTTTTTAAAAGACTGTAATTTAAAAAATTGTACACATTTCCTTTAGCGCGTGTTCTGTTATTAGGTCAGTAGCCACTAGAGGGCAGTAAATATACCTTCAATGGGAATTAATAGCTTAAGGTTCCGGGTCTCCAATATTTTTCTATTGTATAGCTTCTGCATGGCTTGCATTTCAAACTGATTTTAAATATTTTATATTATTCAGTAATTGTAAATGGAAATATTAAGGCAAAATTATGGTCAAACATGGGATATTGATAATAAAAATAAGAACTAATATTTACTGAGTACTCCTTCATGGGCTGGTTACTGGGACTAACACTTTCCATATATAATAGCTTCTTTTAAGCCTCACAATACATCTTTAAGATGGAACCATTATTATACCCATATGAGAGTGAAACCGAGGCTTAGTGAGGTTAATAAAAGCCAAATATCTTTAAAACAAGATTTTAGTTGTTTCTTTTGCAGGAAGGAGAGAAGTGTCAGCATAGAATTTGGTTTATTAGATGTTTTGAAGCTGTCTGCTTGAAAAGGTTATCAGAAAATTAAGCCAGCTAATTCTTTCTGAGTTAGTGCAGAAAGTTAAACTTGGAAAAATAAACCTGCTTTATTCTGTAAAGATTACGAGGAACGTAAGATAATGCCTGTGCAAAGGAAAATAAATATAGCACATCCAGTTCAAGGTGGGTTTTTGGGTGATAATTTTTTAAAGTGATAGTGTTCTAAATAGACTAATCAAGATCAGTTACTAATCAAGATTATGATAGCTATTTAGATATAGTCTCCATAAGAAGCAAAAATGATGTCAAGCCTCCTTCCACTGATACATGTCCTACTTCTCAATACTGTCCTACCGTCTAACTACCCAACAAGGTGTACATTTCTCAGTCTTCAAAGTCTAAGCAAGAAAGCAAATTGGATTGATGGAATAATTTAAAAAAAAAAGCAAAAAGAGAAATTATTTACATAAAAAAATCTTGAACCACAGCTGTTTACTCTCGATTTCAGCTGAGGTCTCTTGGCAATTACTGCTGCATTTAAAAACCAAGTACAGAAGCCCTCTGCAGAATTTGCAAAGGAGTTTTCCAAACTGGCTGTGTTATAGCCAGTCATTGATTTATAGCCTGTAACACAGTTTTGAGAAAAGAATAGGGATTTACAGAAGGTTTTGGGGAGCTCTGTCAATATGCTGAGTTCAGGTTCCTTCACCTAAAGCCTAGGGAAGGAATAAAGGCCACTCAGAGTTCGATGTGTGTCCTCTGGATCTAGGTGCAGTAAAGTGATGTCTGACTGATGCTTCCGAAATCTAAGCATCTGCATTTGTCTCTCTGATGACAGAGGGAAAATAATTTCCTGTTAATGTAGAGCTTGTCAGAACAGAGGATGCTTTGGTCTTTCCTATGTATTTGATAATAGATGTGATATATGTGAAATGCATGGAGTGGGCTTGTCTTAATTTCTCTTTAAGAGGGCTATCTTGAGAAGCAAAAGAACCTCTGGGCGGGCGCGGTGGCTCATGCCTGTAATCGCAGCACTTTGGGAGGCCAACGCGGGTGGATCACCTGAAGTCGGGAGTTCGAGACCAGCCTGACCAACATGGAGAAACCCCATCTCTACTAAAAATAACAAAATTAGCCAGGCTTGGTGGTGCATGCCTGTAATCCCAGGTACTTGGGAGGCCGAGGCAGGAGAATCGCTTGAAGTTGGGAGGTAGAGGTTGCTGTGAACTGAGATTGCACCACTGCACTCCAGCCTGGGCAACAAGAGTGAAACTGCATTTCAAAAAAAAAAAAAAAAAAAACCTCAGCAGAAAAAAAATTAGAAGTGCCACACGCGGTGTCCAGGTATGTACAGTGTGGCAGCTGGAATAGCAAGGCAAGTGCCTGGATCAAGGAAACTTCAAATGAGGGATCTCCCATGAGGGGAGTGTCCACTTGGAAGACCTCCAGGCCTGGAGAGCATCAGTGTAGATTAGCGCTAAGTAAGTTACGGCTACCATTTTTGTTGCTTCTGTCTGTTCCTTCTTACCTCTCCTTCCCTGAAGGGTGACGAGCCAAAATTATTAAAAGCTGAGAAAGAAGTGGCGAGGAGAAGTAAGCTGAACATGCCCTCTTTTTCGGCTTCATGAAAAAAAAATATGTTTAAATGAACCTAGAATTGTTATTACATTGGATTGAATATTCTAATTACTGAACTGATTGTTTTGAGACAAAAGTGACAGGAAGAACTTTTATTACCTGAGAATGACCTGGAGAGTCATGGACCTACCCTTGTTTTTATTCACGAAGTGAGAAAATGGAGAACCCTTCTGTATTTTTTTTCTGTCCTTACTCAGTGTAGCAGTTATTGTAATTTGTAATACTTCTGCAAAAATAATCTATAGATATTCCAATTTTAAATTCAGAATTTGCAGACACATACATTGGTTTAACAAAACTGTAATAAGTATTCAGTCTGAAAAATTTGTTTTTCATATAATGCCAACCTTATACTTTATTGCAATATTTGAGGTGTTTATTATCTGAGGGTATTAAATACTAAGGAAATTCTGATTATAGAATACTTTCTTAGGTTTCATTTTGTAAGTGCCTACAGCATATTGAGCTTGAGAGATGAATTGTTCATTTAAAGTTCATTTAAAACTGTCAGACAGTAATTTAACTTTTTTTCCCCACTGTCTGTCAACTGCAACTTGACATCATGCATCAGGCTGAGTGACACAGGTTTCTAGAGACTGCAATTTAGTTTCTGCATGTCCCATCGGCATGAATAACAGCTTTTCAAGAACACTGTTATCCCCAGAGGGTGTCTACAAAAGATTATCTAATTTGACTTGCTTTAAAAAATAGCTTATCACAAAGATTTCTAATTTGTTCTACCTGATCCTTTAGTTACTGATACTATTAGCCATAGCAAATCATAGCTGTTGACTTATCTTATTCATTTCATAATCAGTAATATTGAACATTAATCAGAAGTGATGTTTCATTGTATGGTTGACAACTGCAAAGCTATAGGGCATTTAAAAGTCATAGACAAAGAGATAAAAGTAACAATTTACTTGGAGAAAACCTTGCATATAACAAGTAAAACTAAAATCTCAAGCAGTATTCCAAGTGTGAGTACCCTTTCTAAAAATCTACAATTTATTGGGTCCTTGCTATATATTAGGCTTAAGACTCCTGTTAATTTTATTTTACAAGTGGGAAAAGTGTGGCTAGAGTGGAGGTGTTAAATTAGTCAAAGTAATATATGGGGAGTGAGTTTACAAAACTCAGTTGTAAATTGAATACGTTCAGTTCTAGGGTTGTCTAACAATAAACCTCATTCACTCTGACACAGCACCACATCACCTCTCGAAGTACTGTCTAGTTGCAATGTCAACCTCTATAGGGATGGCTGGACAGAAATTAAAAGATAATAAAAATCATTTACCAGCAATTTTGAAAGTTCTTGAATTCTTGTATTACTTGAATTACAACAAAGATATGGCTGTTGTAACAGAGACTCTAGGTAACAAAGGCTTAAACTAAATTGAACTTAATCATTTTAATTATCTTTCACCTGATTGTCTAGGAGAATGTTGTCCAGGACTTCTTGGTTAACTCTCTAGTACCAGGAGACAAGACGTTTTCAATCTTATTCCTCGTTAGTGAGTTGCTTTTATCTACATATCCAAGACAATTAACTACAATTATGTCCGCATTCTTGCCAGGCAGCTGAAGGAAAGAGAACGAGAGAACACACTTCTTCTTTATAAGATTTGAACATCGCTGGTTGCTATGGTGTGAATGTTTGTGTTTCCCCACCACCTCCAGTTCATATGATGAAACCTTAAACCCCTCAGGGTGAGGTATTATAAGGTGAGGTCATTAGGCCATGAGAGCTGAACCCTTCTGATTGGGATTAGTGCCCTTATAAAAGAGGCAGCAGGGTGCTAGTCGACCCTACCAGCGTGTGAGGACACAGTGAGAAGGTACCATCTATAACTAGGAAATGAGCCCTGAGCAGATACCAAATCTGCTGGTGCCTTGATCTTGGACTTAGCCTCCACAACTGTGAGAAATGAATTTCTGTTGCTTATAAGCTACGTAGAATAAGCTATTTTGTTATAGCATCCTAAATGGATTGACACTGATTTTATTTTGAAAAAAAGAGGTAAAATGTACACAATGTAAAATTCACATTAAGAAATTTCACCGCCTAGTGTTGTGGCTCACTCCTGTAATCCCAGCACTTTGGGAGGTCGAGGCGGGTGGATCACCTGAGGTTGGGAGTTGGAGACCAGCCTGACTAACATGGAGAAACCCTGTCTCTACTAAAAATACAAAATTAGCCGGGTGTGGTGGCGCATGTCTGTAATCTCAGCTACTCGGGAGGCTGAGGCAGGATAATCAGTTGAATCGGGGAGGCGGAGGTTGCAGTGAGCCGAGATCATGCCATTGCACTCCAGCCTGGGCAACAAAACTGAAACTCAGTCTCAAAAAAAATTTCAGAGTGTACCGTTCATTGGTTTTTAGTATATTCACAGAGTTGTGCGGCCATCACTACTAATTCCAGAAAACTTTCACCACCGCAAAAGGAAACCTCCTGCCTTCTTTTCTACCTGTTGGCAATCACTCCCAATTTCCCCTCTCCTCCATCCTGGGCAACCACTAATCTACATTTATTTTCTATGGATTGGACTATTTTGAGTATTTCATATAAATGGAGTCATACAATGTATTACCTTTTGTGACTTGTCTTTACCTTAGCGTGTTTCCAAGGCTCATCTCTGTTGTAACATGTATCAGTACTTTATTCCTTTTAATTGCAAAATAATATTCCATTGTATGGATGTGCCCACATTTTGTTTATCGATTCATTTGATGGACATTTAGACTGCTTCCACTTTTTGGCTATTAAGAATAATGTTACTGTGAGCGATGATATACTAGTTTTGGGATGGGCTTATTTTTTTAATTCCCTTTGGTAGGAATAGAATTTCTGGCTCATATGGTAACCTTAGGTTTAACGTTCTGATAAGTTTATATTACCTATTTCTTCTAGGTCACTGGCCAAGGTGTTGTCATATCATTAGCCTGGGAAGAGTGACAAACTTGAGAATAAAGTCTATATTCTGACAAGTGTGTTCTCAGCTAAATATCAATTAAAATATCTAAGTATTTGTTACTCTCGGACAAGGGAAGAATGGGCATTTGGGAGCAAAGAATTTTCATCATAATATATCTTTTTGGTCACAGAAATGTCAATGCGCTCTCTTCTTCTCAAGTGTAGAAGACGGTTGCTCTTCCCCAAGAAAGACAATCCAAATTTCTGAACCGGGCTCGACTTCAATTACAAGCCCTAGAAATTTGAGAGATGTGCTCCTCCTGTTGAATCACCTTTAAATTAAATGACATGTCACCTTCCTGGGACACACCCAATGCACAATGGTTATGGAATCGTAAAACCATACTGCTAACAAGTATTTGGAAAAGACAAAAATGAGAAACCCCAGAAGGTAGTGATTCATATAAAATATCCTACAATACTGGGCTGGACTAGAGAGTTGTTCTGAACTGTAGCTGAGTAGGATTCTTGCTAAGGCCATCTCCTGGTTGCTCTGGAAGTTATCTTTCTTATCCATTGTCCTCTGTGACCTCAAATGGTGCTGTCTGAAAGATCTGCGCAAGTCATAATTGAAGTGAGCATGTGGTATTTTCTTGGAGAGGACCAGCTTTTCTCAGTTTTCTTCTTGTATATGTTTGGAACTCCAATTTTAGTTTTACTGGCTGCCTAGGAATTTTTAGGACTGGTTTGTAGTTTCTTTAATTATATAATTTAGTCAAAAACGTTGCTGATGGTTAGTTTCTGATTAATTTCATATGTTAACGGTCATAGCAAAGATAACACTTGGATAGGTTTTTAAGCCTAAAAACATTTATTTACTTGTCTCTTCTGCTTTTTCTCTTCCCCTTTCTCCTGATATAATGGTGATTTCCTTGGAGCCATCTGAAAATAGGCTGAGGGAATAAGGCAGTAATTTTAATCTGATTTTCAGTTGTTCAATGAACTCCTATTATCTGGCCTTTAAAGGTGAAGGCTTTCAGGGCACAGATTTATCTGTTCCCCAAACTACCTTTTCAGAATCATTGTAAAAAGTTGCTTAAGTTGTGTTTATCAATATTCCAAGGCCCCAAGTTTCCAGATCCTAGTCACCTTGGGTTTCTGATCGTAGGCTGAGAAAAATCTGTCTAAAAACTGAGTTATTTTCAATTTCAGCATACACATTTATAGCACTGATCTTAGTCACTCAAACTGAACTTTGCTGAAAGTGCCAAGAAACACCCAATACGTACCAATTTTGTCAGTTTTTCTCCATAGTTTCTCTTAGAGTTACAAGCTCTGAGGCACACGGTTTTCCCTATGAGGATTTTGTATAACACCCCAAAATGCTTTCCCACGGCGTAATAAGGGACACTAGTTTGCCTGTAGACACTTTCTGTGTTTCTGCAACTGACTTCTAAGTGATGGCTAGCTATTCTTGATCTTGTTCTGACCAAATTTTTTATTTGTTATCATATATAGGTACTATAAAGAGACCTAAACTTACACTGACCTAGTAAAATAAATATGCGTTATTTCTCTCCTATACGGTCTGGCCAGAAGTAGTATGAAGATGACCTTGTGCCAGGGGCCCAGGTTCATTTTACAACATTGCTGCAGCCCCTCTAAGATGTTGACTTTTACCACGTAGTGCAGGATCGCCCATAACTTTTCTATTCCAGCCAGTGACCTGGTCTGAAACAAAAAGAGTGGGGAACTCTTCCTTTAAATGACATGGCTCAAAGGTTGCACAAATTACTCATGGTCACACCTCCTTGACCAGAAATCAGCCATATGTTCACACCTAGCTGCAAGGTAGTTTGGAAAATGTAGTTTTTATTCTGAGTGAAAATCACTGAGATACAAAGCAATTTTTGTAATGAAAAGGAGGAAATAGATATTGGATGAAACATAGCTATTTCCTACTTTTTTACTTATTGCCATGAAAACTAACAGTAGGAGCAAGCAGTAGCTAGAAAAACTGAGTTTGTAGTGCAAGTTGATTTGTATATTTTCTTTACACTATTTACCTTTGAAACCTGATTAGCCTTTTTTCTTTTCTTTCTTCCTGAGACAGAGTCTTGCTCTATCCCTCAGGCTGGAATGCAGTGGCATAATCTTGGCTCACTTAAAAGCTGATTTTTCTTAATCCATACTAGTTTTATTTGGTCTCTAAGCTTATAGTATCATGTAAATGCAATACCTGGAATAAGGATACTAATTTCAGTGGTAGCATTTAAATTAGACACTGACAATTTATTCTCTATTTTTCTTATTCTTTAAACTTTACTTTCATACTCTAGTTTCTGAAGAGATGCACAAATGTTATACACCTAAGTATTTCAGTCTGACTTAGCATGTTAGAGATGAAGATGTTTAAAAAGTAAAACAAAAAAATAGCTCTTACAGAATTGATTCTAATTTATGTTAATTAATAAAGCAACATTTTAGAGCCAGAAATGAGTAATTCCCACTAAAATCTAAAATGCTATCTTTATGTAACCTTCTTCATTTTAGCCAAGGAAATTTTGTTCCACTCACTGTCCATCCTTTTTGGCTGGTAATATCATTAACTTAAATGCTTTCCCTCTCTTTGGCCATTAGGTTATGAAGTCTAATATTGGAAATGGGATAAGTATATCATTGTGAATTTAGGTCACCTAGATCATAATTTGATTCTATTTGACTCTCATAATTTATAATTGTCAATGTTTTGTTTGGAGATTGAAAGCACTTAAAATACCTTATGGTTACTTTCAGTAGGGTGCTCATTTTACTTAAAGATCTAAATATAACTTTTCAAAATTTTAGTGGAAACAAAGATTGAAATTAGGTGTCGGGTGGTATACATACTTAAAAACCTCATGTCACTCTTACAACAAATTCCAATGAATTATAAAAATCCAACTTGCTTTTATTATCATGATGTTTTACATAACAGTTTACCCAAACCCCACAGAGTTTAAGGCTCCTCAAGGATCCTCATAAGATCAATTTAAAAAGGAAGCAAATTATCTTAACACTTTCTGGCTCGGAATCGGTGTAATTTTGTATTACAGATTAGAATTTAAACCACGACACAAATTGTCCGTTGGCTGCCATGAGCCACAGATGTCTTGAAAATACATTTTGTTTAGCCAGGACAATATTTTAAAAATAAAATGCAATCAGTTGTCAACGTTTAAAAAATTAAATGTTATACATGAAATTTATAGTTGCAGCTTTTCTTTAAATAACAAATGTTGAGGTTTGGCCATGTAGGGTTCCCATTTCACATGTGCTGAGTAGTGACTGTTCTCTTAGACGAGGCACAGGTTTTCTGGCTCAGTTCACTAATATTGGTCCCTTTTTGCTTGTGAGTGCTCTACATCAAGCCAGGTGGAGCGCCACTTGATGGAATCTCAATAGAGTTGTGCTATGGTTTGAATGTGTCCCTCAGTGATCATGTGTTGACAACTTAATCCACATTGCAACAGTATTGGGAGGTGGGGTCCTAATAAGAGGGGATTAGGTCATGGATGGTGTGCCCTCATGAATGGATTAATGTCATTATCAGGAGTAGTTTTCTCGAGAGTGGTGTTCTTATAAAAGTTAGTGTGGCCTCCTCTTACTCTCTTGCCTTTGCTATGGGGTGATGCAGCAAGTAGACCTTCACCAGATGCAGGCCACATGACCTTGGACTTCACAGCCTCCAGAGCTGTAAGAGATAAATCATTGTTCTTTAAAAATGACCTGGTCTATGGTATTCTGTTACAGTAACGTACAATGGATTAAGACCAGTTGGAAGAGGGAGGAGATAGTTGAGGGCAAGCAATCTTAGTAGCTGGGCCAGTTCTTTACTGAGATGTCCAGCAGCGCCCCAGTGCATCTTCCAGTCCATTCTTCTCTGAACTTCTCTCCAGAGCTTCCACTCCGATCACTCTTTCATCCAACATGCCTCCTTTGGGGCATGCTGCTGCCACAGGGGAAAGCCAGGGCCTGTGTCCTTTCAGTACTTTTGGATTCCTGCTACTGCTAGAGTCACCTCCAATGCTTGTTGTCCTATACTTCATTGAAAGAGATAAAATTTGACTTCATTCTTTTTCTTTTTTTTTTTTTTTTTTATTTTTTTTTTTAGTAGAGACGGGGTTTCACCTTGTTAGCCAGGATGGTCTCGATCTCCTGACCTCATGATCCACCCGCCTCGGCCTCCCAAAGTGCTGGGATTACAGGCGTGAGCCACCGCGCCCGGCCGACTTCATTCTTTTTCTTAGCAGAAGTGTCTTTGGCACAGAGATGGGATTAGACATAGAATGGTTATGAGTCCCACGATAAATTGTAAGGGAATTTTGGAGTTACAGAAAGTAGTCAAATCCTGGGGAAGGAATTAAAACTAACTGGTCTAATTAGGTTGAAATGTTAATTCTACTTAACAAATACAAGTACAAAACTAGGGTTTATTACAGTTAGTAGCCATCTTGGTTAAGTGACTGATTGTCATGGTATCAAAGTGCCTGTTTCAAGTAGCCCTTATTTTTGCAAGGTGAGATTTCATCACACTAATCACAGTGGCATGCTACTTAAAACATTTGAATCATTTATTTCTGGAATTTTTCATTTAATATTTTTGGACTATGATTGACCTTGGGTAATTGAAACTGTAAAAAGCAAAGCCACCAATAAGGTGGTACTAGTGTATCTGTGATGTTTGTAAATTAAAAAAGAAAACATGTGAAAGATGATGAAAAAAACATAAAAATGAGATACGATTAAGAAAAAACAGGAAAATAGGAATGCCTAAATTTGGGAGAGCAGGCAGAAAATAAAATCTGGCAAAAATGGAAGAAGGAACTTGTGGAATATGCAACAAGTTACAAAATCATCACCTTTTTTTTTTTTTATTATGCGTCCCAAAGATTAAAGATTGATGCATCAGTGCTACTATTGTCAGGGAGTGATCCGGTCCCCAAATTGTTTTGCATAATGCTCTACCCCTGGATACTTCAAAGTCCCCAGAGTATGCAGATTCTGCTCATCGTGGCTGTGTCTTGCTTGTTATGCTATTTGTAACTCTAGTCTTGTTATTTCATATCTGTTTACACATGCTGAGGTACATGAATCAGTAAATTATTTCCCTGGACTCCAATTTTGTCAAAGTTATTTTGAATTAAGTTCTGTTCCCTTAATTTGTCCCATCCTCCCGGTATGTGATGTGTTTTGTTTATTCACATTTGCAACCTTCATCATTTTTACTGGTTGCTTCCATTCCAGCATTGGAAATACAAAAAATAGTGAATCAAAATGGTCTTCATATTTTAATCCCCATGGAGCCTCACTTGTCACTGATCTTCACCTTCAAATGCTTCCTTTCTCCGAGCCATTTGTCAGCGGACTCACTCTCCTATGTTGCAAATAGTGCTTGTTGATCTTGGAGATTAATCTTTGGTGGGTGATGTATTTTTGAAAACTCACTGAACTTCGGGTACTGTGGTTTATGACTGTGGTTTACTTCAGTTAGATATGAGATATTAGTCCTTCCTAAAAACTTGTCTGTCTGAACAAAATTATTTTTCTATTAAGCCTCTGTTGCTTTTCCATGTTGACTCCATTTTGGTCTACAGCACCTCAGGGCATTTATTATTTCTATTGTTCATTATTTATCCTGGGACAATAAATAGTATCAGATATAATACAAGAAAGAACATCATATATGATACTATTTGTTGCATATATATTATATATATTGCTCTCTATATATGCATATATAGTATTGTATATATAATATATGTAAAATAATAAATATCCAATACTATATATTATATATAGTACATATAAAAATATTTTAATACTATTTATTGGTAATATATGGTAGTACAGTAATATAGTATCGATATATGTGACAAAGTACAATAAATATAAAGTATAGTGAATAAAATATAAAGTACAGTATTGGAGATATATATATGTAAAATGTATGTTACATTCTTTTTTGGTTCAAAATCCTTAAGTTAAAAGGTAAAAAATCTGGATTCTAGTTATTGTTCAATAATTTATTTGTTGTCCAACATTGGGCAAATTCCTTGCCCTCACTCTACCTCTACCTCAGTTTCCTCATCAGTGAAATAGGCATAATATTAACTGCCAATCCTCTTCCATAGTGTTTTTACAAAGAAAATACCAGGTATATGGGAAAAGAATTTGAAAGTTTAAATGGCATATACAAATAATGTCATAGTATTGTCACAGGCTAGTAAAGGAACTAGTACAGATATTAGGCCTAAGTGTTAAATGAATTGCTTATATATTCAAATTACTATTGCTTTTTATAGATTTATACAGTCAAAGGGAATTTTATACTAATGTTATTCCACATGATACTTGCTGGGACTTACATTAGTACAAGTCCCAGTAACGCTCCCATTCCTGATTAGTGACAGATTGGGAGCAGGATTTAAGACTTCACTCCTGACCTGGCTATTTAAAGCATACCTTGTAGACCAGTTCTTTTCATTGGTGTGGATACACTGTGGAATATGTTTAGCTTTACTAACAATCACTGCCAATTTTAATGCTACTCAGTGGGAGAAGCAAAAACTTTTTCGCCCTTACATTGAATCCGGGTCAACAGACTGTGGAGAAAGAAAAATCGCTCTGTTCACCTACCTTGAAATTTTAAAGTTATCAAAATGTTTTCTTGAGGTTTAAGCTTCATTTCTTGGAATATCCAAGCTTCTCCCTTTCCAAATTTCCTCATACCTTCAAGTCCAAAATCCTCCCCCCAATTTTGGCTGATGTTTATTTAGGGTTGAAGTGCAGTTATGTTCTCCTGGCCTTCTCTGCCTCCTGAGCTCTGGCTTCTTGAGGTGGAGCTTTGCTTCTACAAAACCCCAACCTGACACTCATTTACAAAAATAAATCTGTTGCCAAACATTCATCAGGGTGATAGACTTTTCTGGATTTTTTTTTTTTTTTTTTTTTTTTTTTTTTTTTGGTGAGGGGACTACTTAAAGTAAGGGGTTAATTGCATAGCTTGCAGGATTTTGCAATTTTTGCCCTGCAGTTTTTTTTTTAAACCATGTTCCACTTCTTTTATTGTGTATATCTCAGATGATCTCAAGAATTCTGAAAGCTTTTCTCTGTAATTTTCAGGGTCATTTAGTTCTCCCGTAGGAAAACTTGGCAAAACCCAGCAGAGCCACAGTTTTAAAGTACAAAATTGGCTCATTTCATCAAGCCATTTTCAATATGGTTTCTAGGAGAAATTCTGGTGTCACTATTTGTAAGTAACATTTCTACGTTTCAACTCATAAGCCATTGCTTTTCCGTAACTACACTAATGCAAGTTTTCTTAAGCTTTATGGGCCAAGTTGATCACTTTATTCTTTATTTTGTCAGTAACAGAATATGCAGAATGAACTGCATCTGCAGTTCATTTATAATAAAACTGCAAGGCTGATTTAATCGAGTAGCTCACCAATGTCAAAAAATGATACTTTTTCATATGAGTGATCCCTCTTAAAATGGTGGGTGCTGACATTTGCCAAGGCTACATATTTCTTGTCTATACTTAAAGAGTATGTGTCTCCCTCAGGTTTAACATTAACACTGTTAATCTTATGCTGACTAATTTATGCTACGTGCCTGTTTCCGAATCAACTAAGAGCAAGACACACAGATTTTTTTCTTATTATTCAAATTTGTTCAAAAGATAATTGACTTTAAAATAATGTAGCTTGGATGTATTCTACTTCATGACTCCATGCATTCTGTTAAATAGGTATAATTGTTCCTATGTTGAAGTTATTTCAGTTTAAGAAGTATATATTCATGGGTGCTATTTTTTTATTTGATTTAGTTTTAATTGAGCTCTGGAGAAAATCTAGCCAGTACCTATTTCACTGATGTGAACCCTTGCATACTGTAAATTTATTAAGATCACAGCATTTTAAAAATTCCTTAAAATTAAGTTGGTCACTCAAAAATATGTAGCTAAACAGAAAGAAGTATTAAAAAACTAAATGGAGAACCTCAGGAGTATAGCAGATTCCATGGACAAGAAAATGCTGTGGCTCAGTGGTTTGCTTCAGTTTGTGACAGAGAACTTCTGAAATATACACACAAGCAGTGAATGAGGAATCTCACAGACTTCCAGGTAAAAAAAATGTGAAGTCAGACCTTAAAATACCAAATGGATATTTTTTTTTCTCCCAACAGTCTCTGTCCCTACAGGTTTCATCTCATAGTGACTACATTTCATTAATTAGAACAGGAGACAGGAGGGTAAAGAGGGTGTTTTTTTATTTTGTCGTTTGAAAAAATTGTAAAACCTTGCAATCATAATGCTCCTGTGTACGCTGCCTGCTAGGCTTTATTGCCTGATTGCCTTCTGCTACATGCATTAGCAATACCATGCTTGAAATACACACACACACACACACACACACACACACACACACACACACACACACACACAAATATACATCATGGAACTTTTGGTTTAACCACCCAGCCATGGTTTTCACGGTCATAAACCATTTAAGTCAAAAGCAATCACCAGTACCCTAGACACCACCCACATAAGAGCAGAGAACCCCGTGGCCTGGGTCAGAATGTGCGTCTTCCATGCTCCATGGAATCTTGGAAACAGATTTCTATTATTTATTACCCAGTACCTGGAAATGCTGTATTTTAATATCAATTTCAATATCACAGAACCATTTGAGTCAAAGTGCCTTAAGAGATTGTATAGAACAAAAATGGCCTAGAAGGGCCGATTTCACAAAAATTAATACTAAGAAAAGACAAAGCAAGGATTAATTCAGAATGGAAATAATTAGGCATCGATAATGCTTCTGAAGTTATTTTTGAAACAGCAGTAGCTATTTGGAATACTAGTTACAACTTAAGCCTTGAGAACAATTAAAATCCATCTACATTAGCTGGTGATTTACATGTGCGACAGACAGTATTGAAGTGGAACAAAGGAAAATGCAAATTTCGTCAAAGCCAGTTTGAAGATTCTCAACATTTTACAGACCACCTTAATAGACATAGCTATCCAAATGTGTATTTTTGTGCAATGAGTCATTTAAGCTGCCATTCCAGCTTGCCAAGCGTACAAAAAGTCACAGGATATTTCAAGCTGTGTAGTTTTCCAGAATTCCATGAGCTTTTGGAAGATCTTCCTCTGCTATATGAACATGAAGCTCAGCACTGTTTAAAACACCAGAATCATCTGCACAACCCAGTGAGACAATTCTTCGGGATGTTCATACAGACTCCAATCCTAATCATCAGGAAAAGGATTCATCTAGTACTGAGAAACCATTAGTCTGTCAGTTTCTCCTAGCAAATCAAGGAAAGATTCTACAGAACCAAAGACATGTATAGGAAGTATGGAAAAGAAAACAGTTTAGTTCAGAATGGAAATGAACGTTCTGATGACACTGTTTAAAATATAAGCTTGTTAGACCAAAAGATGGCTGACATAGAGCCAAATTCTGAAAATAATTGTAGTAGTCATGATTTAGTTAATGGACACAGTGAAACAGAGCAAACACCTTTAGTTTTATCAGATCCTGCTTTGAAAATTGATATAAACAGAATCAGGACAGAAAATGGTTCCATTTTACCTAGTGTTGTACCACAAGAACACAATACCTTACCAGTATCTCAGGCACCTTCCAAACCAAATCTGACAAATGAACATACTTCGTATGGCTTAATTTTAACAAAACCAGTTACCTTCACGAACAGTATCTTAGTATGCCCAAACATGCATAATTTCTGACTGATACCTGTCCTGATCAAGATAACATGTATAGGAAATTAGTGAAAAGATTAAGATGTGGCAAATGCCTGACCACCTACTGTAATGCAGAAGCACTTGAGGCTCATCTAGACTGATAAAAATGTTTCAGAAAGATGTGTCAATCAAGCAGTAGTGTGAAAAAAGCACTATGAAAACACATCAGTTTGCTATTTCCCTGATGGCCTTAATTTTACAGTGGTCTCGGATTACTAAAGATAAAGACAAAACACGTTTTCTAGAATGAACTACAGAGATGTGGTGGCTTAGACTTTAAAAGGGTTATTATAAAACTCCCAAAGTACCAGTTTTCCAGAAAACCACATTTAAAAAAGTTTAATGATTAATAGCAGCAGCATGTTCAGTTTTGCTTATATGAGAAACATGTTTAGGCAACTAGTCAGAAAACCAGCGATGGCCATACAGAAAGGGCAAAGTTAACCCATTATTAAAAAGTGTGTGTGGGGAGGGGGGCTGGTTTACAGTAATTATCAATTTAAATTATTTTCTACAAATGGGGTTTTCTTCTCATGTGTAATCAGATTACGTCCTCTCCCTTCTAGTCGAACATGGTTTAAGGAACAGCTGCTCTTTGGTTTGTGATATGATTTAGAAACTTATACATTAACTTACCACAATGCTATCAATTAAAGATTGTAACTGATTTCTAGATGATTAATTAGGTTGAAGTTCAATGAATGGCCTGCCAGCATTGAAAATTAAAAAACAAAACAAAAAAACCACAGTGCTTTACTAATAAGCTCTTCATAGAACCTCCCACGAACCACTTTTGTAGTACAAATTAGTTACATTTAAAGGGCAGAAGTGTCAATAAAACAAAAAAAATGATCAGTAACTCTGGGGAGAGATGAAAGGCATCTAAGACCTTTACAGGCTTTGTAGTTAGTTGAAGGAAAACACTGAATTGCAAATTCTTCAATGTGCATAATGGTAAAAGCACACTGGGATATTTCTATTTGTATATGTTAGGACATTGCTTGATGATTCATAGCAAGGTCCTTTAGACATTAATGTGAGTTATCTAAGTACAGTCCTAAAATAATTGGTTTAAAACATCAGCTAAGAATCAGGCTGAGAATTCATGCATTTTATTCTGTTAGGAGAGGTAATTCCAAAATAAGCTATACTCCCGTTTTTTTATTCATTAGTGATGAGTCTGGTCTGAATAGTAATTTTTATATGTAAAAGGAAGTATTTACACAAAAATTCACACAACAAGAACACAATAAGAAGCACATTCACGCATTGTTTTCATTGGTGATAAGTTATTTTCCTAATGAAGATTTTAACTTAATAAATACTTTCTAAAATACCCTCTCAGATGTTTTCTACTTGTCCATTATTAAAAGGAAGATGTGTAAAGACTTCCTTTTACCAAATAGTGTGTAAATCTAAAATGGGGATAAAAAGAACAAAAAGGCAAACTGTTGCAAAATGGATCTCCTAGTGCCCCAATGTCAAATATTCCAGTTATTCTAAATAATAAAATCTTCGTTCAAGGCAGATAATCTCATCAGACCCTATTATATTAGAGCTTCTTGAATGAGGCTACTATGGAAGTGGGGAATTTCTTCCAGGTAGCATCTGTATTTTATTAAATTAGGATTTCCAGGTCATGATAGATCAGATGATTTTTTTTTGATTTCCCAGTTTTATTAGTTTATCATCAGCATTCACTATGCAATGATGATCATAAGTCCATTCCAAATTTAAATTTGTTTTTGTTATGTGCCATACATTAGGCTATGGAATTTACATTTAGGTAACTAAATACAACTCAAAACCAAATTTGAAAATCTTTAAGTTCAGCTAAAAAAAATTCTATTTCTTGATGCTAAAATGTAATGATTTTTATTTCAGTTCATTCTAAAAGTATGGCTTGTAACAAAAAGTCTGTTTGTAAAAAAAAAAGTCTGTCTACATCAGTTGGCAAGCAAACCTATTAATTGAAGGTAATTCTGTAACTGACCCTAAATTGCATGGATTGCCATGATAAGAAACAGAAAGTAATAAAACTAAATGCGTGGCTTTATAAGCTGAAAACTTTGAGACCACAGAAAAGTTAGGAGGAAATCGCCAGGGTTGGTAAAGAAGCCAGGGTATAATAAGACTGGATGAGGTTTTCATTAAAGGCTTAGTGCTGGGACCCTTAGTGTGAGGAAGATCACTGAAAGAAGTCCTCATATTGACCTCATATTCAGAATTAACTACCAGGCCAAACTGCTGACAGGCAAATGCCCAGATTAAATTCCCACTTCTTGTGGATATCCTAGATATGCTAATCCTGAAATTTCATCTTGGCTCTATCCGTGTTGTTACAACAAGCTAGTTTTATATTCTTGCATACTACAAGCACCCAAATTAATCACCCACGTAGGTGTAAGCAATTCCACTCTTAGAAATCAAGAATTCCCTAGTCTTTGTATCATAAAGTTTTTAATGACACACACATTTTGTCCTTTACCTTACAAATATTTCTTTGGGTTTTGTTCTGATCATTATGCAATATACAGAATAGTTTCTCGCCATTACCTTATTAGGGTAGAACCACCTTTGCAACTTTGGACACCATTTAGTAGACGTGAAATGGAATATAGAAAGATAGAATGCTTGAACAAAACTTATCAGTGCTAGCTGCCTTAACTAAGGTCCTTCTCTCAGCTTAGTGCCCCTATGACAGCTTGCAAGACACTCTGACTTTGTTTTATTGTGCTTATGTAGTCAGATTATGAGGCTGATCATTGAGTGTCCATCAGACTATACGTTATTGATTCCTCTGTCAAGTTGCCCCAATATCCTTTGTGGCCAGAGGAAGAGAAGAACATTCAACTAATAAATCCAATTTCTCTTGTGAAAAAGACTCATAGTTCTGATAAAGAGTCATTTCAATACCTGTTTAACCATTTAGAAAACATGTTTCTGTTTGTATAGCACCTCTGGGAACCTAATGCAGTAATATCGCCTTCTTTTCCATTTGTCCCTGATCTAGATGCTATATTTTTTATGCATCCCGCCTGCTGTTAAGTATTTTACAATTACAGATTTACACCCTATCTTTTATTCTGTCCCATCTCACCCTGCTAGCAAATTTTTGTTTTATTTTTTTCATATAAAGCTTCCAGGCTACTTGCATTACAAGGCCAAGTGGAATGTTTTTTATTATCTCAAATTCTCAAAGGGATGTGGATGGTATTGTGTGATTTTAGTTATTCTGTCCTTATGCATATCAGTTAATCTTCCATTATCCTTCTTTCAGAAAAGGATTGTAAACACGATGCCTTCATTTAATTTTTAAAAATCTAGCCCAAAAGAGTCATAAAGAATCTAAAGTAAAACTACGTTTTAAAAATTCCAAGTTTGCTCCTTATGGCACAAAATAGCCTTCATCTTTCAAAGTAAAGTCACAAGCTATTCCAAGTTCAAACATGCAGATAATCCTGGGCATGGATAGCTATTGTTATTGACAGCTCCTGAGACATGCATCATTTGTTAAGCCTCTTTTGCTTGAAATAGGACTATCATTCTAGAACAAGTATCTTGATCATAAGATCTTTCCCCTGGAAGATCAGGCCACATGCTCAAAGGGTTTCTCTGAGACTGTAAGGAACTTTTCATACTAAATTACTTTTTGGACCTCCTAAAAGGTAGTGTGAGGTCACCTAAGGATAGTCTCCTCTAAACTCATAGAAGCCAGAAGATGGCACACAAGAGCAAAGAGGTGAGGTGACAGAAATAGTGAAATATAATTTGTATGCTTCCAATTTTCCAAAGTGGCTCAGTAGTATTACCAGCACAATTTGGCAAGCTCATAATGCAGACAATCTTTCAAGGAAAAAAAAGGCAGGTCACTCTCCACCGTGATTGGATTTTGTAGATACATGCCTTGACTTTATCCAGAAAACATGACTACACTTTCACTACCTACCTCATTCAGAATCTGCTGGGATGCTGGAATGACATGGCGTATTAGTCTGTTTTTATGCTGCTGATAAAGACATACCTGAGGCTGGGAAGAGAAAGAGGCTTAATGGACTTACAATTCCACATGGCTGGGGAGGCCTCCTAATCATGGTGGAAGGCAAGGAGGAGCAAGTCACGTCTTACATGGATGGCAAAGAGCTTGTGTAGGGAAATTCCCATTTTTAAAACCATCAGATCTCGAGAGACTTATTCACTATCGTGAGAATAGCATGGGAAAGAACCGTCCCCATGCTTCAATTACCTCCCACTGGGTTCCTCCCATGACACATGGGAATTGTGGGAGTTACAATTCAAAATGAGATTTGGGTGGGGACACAGCCAAACGGTATCATTTCATCCCTGGCCCCTTCCATATCTCATGTCCTCACATTTTACAACCAATCACGCTTTTCAACACTCTCCCAAAGTCTTAACTCATTGCAGTGTCATCTGAGACAAGGCAAGTCCCTTCTACCTATGAGCCTATAAAATCAAAAGCATGTTAGTTACTTCCTGGATAAAATGGGGGTTCAGGCATTGGATAAGTACACCCCATTCCAAATAGTAGAAATTGGCCTAAACAAAGGGGCTACAGGCCCCATGCACGTCCAAAATCCAGTGGGGTAGTCAAATCTAGAAGTTCCAAAATGACCTCCTTTGACTCTGTGTCTCACATCCAAGTCATGATGATGCAAAAGGTGGGTTCCCATGGTCTTGGGCATGGGAACTGTGGCTTTGCAGGATACAGTCTTCCTCCAGCTGCTTTCACAGGCTGGCATTGAGTGTATCTGGCTTTTCTAGGCACACAGTGCAAGCTGTTGGTGGGTCTACCATTCTGGGTCTGGAGGACAGTAACCCTCTTCTCACAGTTCCACTAGGCAGTGCCCCAGGAGGCGATCTGTGTGGGGGCTCTGACCCCACATTTCCCTTCCACTCTGCCCTATTAGAGGTTCTCCATGAGGGCCCAGCCCCTGCAGCAGATTTCTGCCTGGGCATCCAGGCCTTTCCATACATCCTCTGAAGTCTAGGCAGAGGTTTCCAAACACCAGTCCTTGACATCTGTGCACTGGCAGACTCAACACCATGTGGAAGCTGCCAAGGCTTGGGGCTTGCACCCTCTAAATCCACGGCCAGAGGTCTATTGTGGGCCCCTTTCAGCCATGGATAGAGTAGCTTGGATGTAGGGCACCTGGTCCATAGGCTGCACACAGCATGGGGACCCTGGGCCTGACCCACGAAACCATTTTTTCCACCTAAACCTCCAGGCCTGTGATGGGAGGGTCTGCCACAAAGGTCTCTGATAGGCCCTGAAGACATTTTCCCCATGGTCTTGGGCATTAATGTTAGGATCCTTGCAACTTAAGCAAATTTCTGCAGCTGGCTTGAATTTTGCCTCAGAAAATGGGACTTTATTTTCTATCTCACTGTCAGGCTGCAAATTTTCCAAACTTTTATGCTTTGCTTCCCTTATAAAACTGAATGCCTTGAACAGCACCCAAGGTATTTCTTGAATGCTTTGCTGCTTAAATAATTCTTCCATAAGATACCCTAAATCATCTCTTTCAAGTTCAAAGTTCCACAAATCTCTAGGGCAGGGGTGAAGTGCTACCAGTCTCTTTACTAAAACCTAACAAGAGTCACCTTTGTTCCAATTCCTCTCCTTCATCTCCATCTGAGACCACCTCAGCCTGGAACTTATTGTTCATATCAATATCAGCATTTTTGTCAAAGCCATTCAACAAATCTCTAGGAAGTTTCAAACTTTCCCACATTTTCCTGTCTTCTTCGAGCCCTTCAAACTGTTCCAACCTCTGCCTGTTACCCAGTTCCAAAATTGCTTCCATATTTTCGGGTATCTTTTCAGCAACACCCCACTCTATTGGTACCAATTTACTGTATTAATCAATTTTCAAGCTTCTGATAAAGACATACCACAGACTGGGAAGAAAAAGAAGTTTAATGAAATTACAGTTCGAAGTGGTTGGGGATGCCTCACAGTCATGGCGGAAGGCAAGGAGGAGCAAGTCACATCTTACATGGATGGCGGCAGGCAAAGGGAGAGCTTGTGTAGGGAAACTGCCGTTTTGAAAACCATCAGATCTTGTGAAACTTATTCACTATCACGAGAACAGCATGGGAAAGACCCAGCCCCATGATATAATTGCCTCCAACTGGGTTCCTCCCATGACTTGTGGGAATTGTGGGAGCTACAGTTCAAGATGACATTTGTGTGGGTACACACCAAACCATATCACCTGGTAATTTTTAAAAATTAACTGTTGTGACTTCCTTTGTTTTTTTTTTTTTTTTTTTTTTTTGAGAGACAAGGTCTTCTGTTGCCCAGGCTGCAGTGCTGTGGCATAATCATGGCTCACTGAAGCCTCAACCTCCTGGGTTAGTGGGATTCCTCTCCTCAATCTCCTGAGTAGCTGGGACTGCAGGCTCATGCTGACATGTTGGTTATTGTTTAAATCTTATGTAGAGACAAGATCTCACTGTGTTATCCAGGCTGGTCTCAAAATCCTGGACTCAAGCAGTTTTCCCATCTCAGCCTCCAAAAGCATTGGGATTACAGGCATGAGCCACTGGGCGCAGCCTACGTTCATTTTTAAGAGTGGACAAATAAGTTATGCAGATCAAATGTCGTGCTGAAAACAACAAAATCTTAGGATAAAATACATTTCAAATGCGTCTTTTAAAGAAACTAAGATTTCACAAGCTTAAATAAACTTATTAGATGAAATTGAAGGGAAAATGAAACCTCAGAGCTGTAGGTAAACCAAGAAGCCATATTGCCAAGGGATATCCACTGGTGCTGGCATATTTAAACTTGTTTTCATGATGTATGCACTCTCCATTACCTCTTATTTCATTTCCCACTAGTTTCCCTTACTCTTTCTGTGCTAGGTACACTGGTCTTTGTGAATACTTTGCAATTGTGCTGGTGATAACTATAGCAGAGACAGGATAATAGTGCAAAGAATTAACTTATTCAGAACAAAATAAACTACCAAATATTAAGACTGAGGTCTTCAGTCCATGAAAATAAATGCCCAGCATTAGTGGCTAAATTCTCTGGCATAGAGTGAAGAAACATCCAATCACACTACATTATTTCTTTTCTCACCCTTTGCAGTCGTGTGCTATCCAATGACTTTCATAAGGAGGGAAGGGCTTGTCAACATAAACTAATTAAGATCGATGCTAGGAAATATGATGTACTCATTTTAGTTACTATTAAAATCTTTAGTTCATTCATACCCCCTAAAATCATATGAATCTAATTTTCATGTTGCTATTTCAATTGAATGTTATCATTTGAGCTTTACAGAATGCTTATGGCTGATAGATGCTGATATGGTTTGGCTGTGTCCCCACCCAAAAAATTCATCTTGAATTGTAATCCAAATTGTCATCCCCATGTGTTGTGGGAGGGACCTCCTAGGAAGTGATTAGATCTCAGGGGCTCTTACCCCCATGCTGTTCTTGTGATAGTGAACTCTCACAAGATCTGATGGTTTCATAAGGGGCTTTTCCTCCCTTCACTCTGTACTTCTCTATCTTGCTGCCATGTGAAGAAAGATGTGTTTGGATCCCCTCCCACCATGATTGTAAGTTTCCTGAGGCCACTTTAGCCATGCAGAACTGTGAATTAAACCTCTTTTTATAAATTACCTAGTCTCAGGTATGTCTTCATAGCAGCATAAGAACAGACTAACACAGATGCCCTTTTCCATCAGGAGTTGCCCTCAGCAAGAGAAAGCTGTTTCAACCAAGTTTGCATCCTTTTCCCCAAGACAGTTCACATCCAATGACTAGTAGATGCAGAGGGACAAAAACTTTGCCATTATCCAAAGGGCCATCCCAGACTCAGATTTCCCCATTGAGTCTTCTGTGGTATCGGTTGTAACTGTAACATGGTTCAAATCCTCCCTTTTGCTCATTCAACTATTATTGCTTCCTCACATATGGTCGTCCTAAATGCACTTCTCAATTAACCTCTTGGTGACAAATCTCATGTTAGAATCTCTTTCCAGGAAACCTTATCTAAGATAGGTGGTAGCAGACATTGTCCTGGAAGCAGACATAATAATAAAATTTGGTAAATTGGATCACCCACTGGTTGGATGGCAATAACACCCTTATGGCTTGGTCTTCCTCTGCCATGCTGTAGTGTGAAGTAGTTAATACTATCACTAAATGGGACAGCACTGAAATGGAATGCAATTGCTTTCAGTTGTTTGAGAATTATAGGATAAGTAATAATTTTAAGGACTAAGGAAACAGATGACAGTTGTCGAATAAAATCTGTGCATTCAAAAAAGACAATAAAAAACTAGATATGATTATCACCAGTTTAAGGCAAAGTGTGAAAATCAGAGGACCCTTGGTAGTATATAAAAATAAATAAATAGTAAATAAATCTTCATCTTTTGAAGACAAAGCTGAATATCAGGCCCAGGGCTTGATTTTTTAAAGTAGTTGATCTCTGGAGAAGATTCATTTCTTAACCCCAGCAATCCAAAGCCCTAATGTAGAATCAGAAAACTGAAATGTGGGATTGAGACATCTAGGTCAATGCACTTGAGAACCTTTGTCGTATCAATGGCTAATACTTCTCTCTCCTTGCTTGAAAATGATGCACAAGCCTCTGTCTTGAGAACCATTTTGTTCCCACCCCCAGACTCTGCCCCTATCTTTCCTCCTGGCCACCAGAATGATAATTAAGTTTAAGTCACAGCATAATCCAGCTGAAGAAGTGCTGGACTGGCTAAGGGAAGAAAGTAATTACGTACTAAAAAAGTAGTAGGCCCTAGGCAATATGTATCAGCAGGAATTGGAAGAGGATGCATGGCATTAGAACATGATGACGTCGGATTAAGCAGGCTTCAATAATAAAATTGGATGAGGAAGAGTTTATACACAAAAACACTATTAAAAAAAAAACCAATGACACATAATGCAGTAGAATGTTGAATAAGACATCAAAAACTCCAGAGAAATAGGCAGACTAGAAATGGGCACACTACAGAAGACTGGGAAAACTACCAGTCAACTATATTCTACATAAAGACCCAGGAAAACTGACCAGTACCACAATTGTCATAGTTTTAAATTATTTTCTGGTGAGAGTTGTACCAACATTTGTGAAGAAGCTCAGTGGTGGCTAACTATCATCTTTAGACTAGAACTGAAAGTAGGAGACCAGTTTGCGGAAACTTAATAGATGATGGAATCTGAAAATAATAAAATCTAGCTGGTAATAGAATATAAAATCTTCATTAGGCTAGACAGTGATTTTTACCTGTAAATAATGAAATGAATACAAACATCATATAAATGTGAAAGTCATAATCCAGGAGGCTGTAAAGTCCTGGTAAGATTAGGGGCTCCGGGTCAGGGAGAACTATTGTTCTGAGGGACGACTGAACACAGACCTCCTGCTGGCACAACATCCTGTTCCCAAATACCTCCTTAGGCATGTAGCCCCAGCCGTTCAAACTTCGTCCACACTTAGTCCCTCAAGCACAATCCTATGAAACTTCCCTCCAGCCCCTGACTCTTTACAGACAGCCCCTTCGCTGCTGGGCAGCCCATTGCACTCTTGTAACATATTTTCATACTTTCTCTTATAAATTTGCCTTTCTTTACCTAAGACTGCTTTGGTAAATTCTTTTACGACTGGCAACACTGGCCCCAGCCGTCCAAAGGCTGGACATGCAGAAAGGTTGAGATAGGTTTCAGGTTATGGTGTTTCTAGGAGTAAGAGAGATTGGCAAACATTGAGTTTCTTAATCTGAACAACAACAACAAAAAGAATCAAGGATGAAAAATAAATCAAGTTCAGGAAGCTTAAGGTCATTGCACCAATAAAAAGTCAGAATCCTTCACTTAGTTTCTGGACCTGAACCAATTCTCAGACCCAGAACCATTGCCCTCAGGAAGAACCTTGACACACCATAGCAAATGTACACTGAAGTGATTTCCTCAAGTCATCCCCAAAGGAAATACAACATTAACTTGAGTAACTATATATTGGGAAAAGGAGAACACCCAAACATTTCAAAGACTTCTGGATACAGTGTATGAGTACATTATCCAGGGAAACCAAAGCATTATCCTACCCTTCCCCTACATTAAAGAGAGATTATGGAGACCAGATAATACATGGAATCTTGGTCAAAGTCTGGTTCACAGTGGATTTGTGGGTTCTCTGTGTGAATGAAGTGGCTGTTTCTCTGATCCATGTGTGTAATTGGAGTGAACATGTTGTATCCTTGGTGGAATATAACTGTTTTTTGTCCTATACGGTAAGACTATTGTAGTGTTATGGTAAGTCTGGCCAAACGAATAAAATCTGTATTGTATCACAAGCAGAATGGCAGATACTAGTGTAATGACCTAAATGATGCAGGGACGATGGTCCACTTGTTACATCCTCATGTAATTTGCAGTATCTGGCTCATGGGTTCTGGGTGATAACCGTGGACTAATATAAATCTAAACAAGGAGAAGCCTCATTTGTAGCTACAGTGATAAATGTGGTATTGTTGCCACACTTGCTAACGAAGCCTCGAGTACATAATATGTGACCAATGATCTGGCATAATTTCTTCCAGTACTATCAGGAAGGAAATTAAGAGAGGTTTTCATGCCACAGTGACATTACACATTCAAAGGCTTGCTGTGTACTACATTGATTCTTCTTCTCTGTCATAATATAGTCAGAAAAGACCTGCTCCATCAACACATCCTGTGTAACATCATGAGTCCAGTTTACCAATGACATCCATTATTTTTTATTTATTTATTTTGAGACAGAGTCTCACTCTGTTGTCCAGGCTGGAGTGCAATGGCATAATGTCGGCTCACTGCAACCTTCACCTCCCAGGTTAAAGCATTTCTCCTGCCGCAGCCTCCTGAGTAGCTGGGATTACAAGCACCTGCCACCTCACCTGGTTAATTTTTGTACTTTGAGTAGAGACGGGGTTTCACCATGTTGGCCAGGCTAGTCTCGAACTCCTGACCTCGTGATCTGCCTGCCTCGGCCTCCCAAAGTGCTGGGATTACAGGTGTGAGCCACAGTGCCTGGCCGAAATCCATTAATCTTAAATGAGAAAGATGTGGCAAATATATTGGAGGCTTTGGGTAGATACATGAGCTCACTCCCGAAGCTGGAAAATATGCCCTGTGAAAATGTGAGTGTCCTTCATGTGAACATATTCTGTGGTAGGGCACTCTAATTTTCCTTTAAGGCTTAAGGCAGTCATTCCCAACTAATGAATATCTTGCAATTGTATCATAGTTCAACTTTTCCCTTTGCTCAGTCTTGTTTTCTTTACTGCCTTACAGCTGTTCCTGAGTGCACTTCCAATAAAGTTCCTGCATGAAATCTCTGTCTTAGAAATCTGTTTCCATAGGAGAGAATCCAGATCATTTAAATGTTTCTAAATGGTGCTTACTCTGATGTACTTGAAAGCCTTAGAGATCTCCAGGATACCTGTATTTCTCCTTGGTAGTTCCTAATGAAATAGAACACAACCAGCTTGGCAGAGTTGTGTTTGATCACTTTATGACTATAACTTTTCTAATATAAAAAATGACCCAATTAATTTTAGAAATTAGCTATTTGGCTAACGTTTTAAAGTCAATATTAATACAATCAATACTCTGCTACACATTTTAGTGTAAAGTAACAGAACAATGGTTTTACAGAACTAATTGATTCCCGATTTTATTCTAGATAGGGAATAAAATGTTCTCATGGGAAAAATGCTGCATGTACATTGGAAAAAATGCTACACATACATTCCAGATAATTTAAAATCTAACAAAGTTGTGGTTATTAAAATTAAAAATTCTGAAATACATATGATCATGGATTGGAGCTATAATCATGGCTTGAGAGCACACCAGCACATAAGTGGCTGTAATGCTCATAAGATGCAGCTTAAGCTACATCATTAATAAGATACAAGGAGGCTTATCTCACTAAGAGTCTGGACAAGTAGCCTGTAACATGTACTTGGAAAGATAGTTGAAAAGCGGATCAAAGTAAAATGAAATTACCTTTTAAAGATTACATTCTGAAGAAGGGTGGTGTTGAAAAATCACCCAAGAAGGACTGTGGAACCGGAGAGTATGTCTTCCTTTTGTTAAGACGAGGATACATTAAAATTAAATACACTGTTTTTGTCAAATTCTCCTCAACTACCATTAGAAGAGCAAACAAAAGTTCTGTAGCATAAGAATACATCTTTTTTCGTGAGTCCAAATATTTTACAGCAGATAAACCCTGAAAAGTCTTAGTGTGAGCTATTAAGAAATCTGTGGTTAAACAAAGGAGTTTGCTGAGTTGATTAATCAATTTGAAATAAATTCCTAAGATTAAATCTAATCTCTGCTTTATTACACAAGTGTAAAGTTTTCGTGAATCCTTTCAGAAAAAAAAATGAAGACTCATTTATTTTAATAAGGCTGTCTCAAGCATCTACAAAGTAATCTTTTTTTGCGGTATTTTTTTTTGGCTTTCTATAATATATCTTTCATAATGTGATAGTAATGATATATATAATAGGTATACAGTTTATTCATTTACATAAATTAATATAATACACATTGAAGCAGAACAATGAAATTAACATTTTTGAAACTGCCACTGAGCCTTATCAGCTACAGCTGATGTTCCTTCTGGCTTCTAACAAGGCTGATTTACCCCTTCCTCCCCAAAGGCTGAATTTTGGGGACATGATTTTGCTTGAGTTTATACTTTCCCCTGTGTTAATATATCTTTAAATAAAACACTATTTTATCTATTGAAGTGGTATCATACTCTTCTGCAACTTATTTTCTAAACATCATTTGACATCTTCTAAGACTTATCCATGTTGATATGTTTGGCTGCAATTCAGTCATTTTAATTACTCTGAAATGAATTATGTGTTTATTTTAAGTGACTTTGTTGTAGAATATATAAATCTTTTACCGTCTAACTAAGGAATGACTTTAAATTGGATTGTTTAGACAACATACATTTGGAACACTTGGATATAATTGAGTTTCAATCTCCAGTCATGTTATTTGTTTTGGGTTTGTCCAGTCTGTTTACCCCTTTTTCCTCTTTTCCCATTTTTTGGGACTATTTATATACTCCAACTTTACTTCACTGTTTCCCTTTTATTTAGTTTTTAGAGATTGCTCAAAGATTTCAACTTACTAACTTAGTTGTCTTTAAATAATATTGTTTCTTTAGTTGTAATGCAGGAACCTTATAACATTACACCTTTTCTGTCCTTTTTGCTGTTGCTGTCATACATTTTAAAATAGAGTATGTTAAATATATCACAATATGGTGTCATTGTTTCTGCTTTAAATAGTCAATTTTTAAGGAAATTAAAAACGTGAGAAGATACTCTAATTTAAAAATGCTTTAGCTTACCTGTGTATTGATCATTTCTGGCATTCCTGATTCCTTCGTGCATATGCAAGTTCCCTTTGGGCTTTGTTTTCCTTCTTCCTGAAGAACGCCCTATAAAATGTTTTGTAGATTTGCAAGTTAAACTGACCTCAGAGGTTTTTGAGTTTATTCATTTGCCTGTAATAATCTTTATTGTGTTAATTTTTGAAATATGTTTTAAACCAATTATAGAATTTGAGTTTGACAGTTTTGTTTGTTTCCTTTTCAGCTTTTTAGTGAGATATTATTCTCACTTGCAAATTTTCCAAAGAGAAGTTTCTCATTTTACTTTTTCCTGGATGCAGAATATGCTTCTGCCTCCTTTTTTCTTTTTCTTTTTTTTTTTTTTTTAAAAAAAGCATTATATTTCTGGGGTTTCTTTGTTTGTGGCAATTTGTTTGGCATTCATTTAGCATCTTTGATCAGTAGACTTTCAATTTTCATCAAATTTTGAACTTTGACAGGTCGCTTCTTAGTTTTATTTTTCATACATTCAAATTTTCTTTCTTCATTTTGGATATTTTCTACTACTTTATCTTCAAGTTCATTGATCGTTTCTTATGTAATGTTTTATCTCTTGGTAATCTTGTTCAGTGAAATCTTCATTTTAGAAATTGTATTTTTGATCTGTAGAAGTTTCATTTAAGTTTCCTCTTTTATATCTTCTACTTTTTTTTTTTTTTTTGAGACGGAGTTTTGCTCTTGTTGCCCAGGCTAGAGTGCAATGGCATGATCTTGGCTCAGCACAACCTGTGCCTCCCGGGTTCAAGTAGTTCTCCTGCCTCATCCTCCCGAGCAGCTGGGATTACAGGCATGCGCCACCATTCCCAGCTTATTTTGTATTTTTAGTAGAGAGAGGGTTTCTCCATGTTGGTCCGGCTGGTCTCAAACTTCTGACCTCAGGTGATCCACCCGCCTCGGCCTCCCAAAGTGCTGGGATTACAGGAGTGAGCCTCCACGCCCAGCCTACTTCTCTTACTATATTCATGTTTTTGTTTAAATCTTTGAGCACATTCAGCATATTTATGATAGCTGTTTTAAGTTCTATCATTTATCATCTCTGTCATTTCTGGGTCCATTTCTACTGACTGATTTTTCTTCTGGCTGTGAATCAGATTTTCTGCTTTTTTTTGCCAGTCCAGAGATATTTGAATGAAAGTCAGACTTCACAATTTACTCTAATTGAGTTAGTGATTTTTTTTGTTGTTTTTGTTTTTCTTTTAAAAAGCATTGGATTTTGTCTGGTTGGCAGTTAAGTTACATGTTACTGTGATCTTTCTGAGGCTTGTTTTTAAGCTCTTTGAGAAGTGCATCTAGAATTGCTTGTACCCTCAGGTTAATTTAGTCACATTACTAAAACGTTACTAGTGAACAGCCTATGATTTACGGAGTTTTCTCCATTGTCCTCAGTGTGGACTTGAGTGTTTTCTAGTCTTCTGTGATTTCCAGGAATTATTCAATTTATAGCCCCCCCCATAACTGTTCTTTCACCAGAAACTGTTTTTGCTTTGTGTAGTAGGCATTACACCCATGCATGTGAAGATCAGGATTCAGGCAAAAACTCTAGGGGACCCTATACTGACATCGGAAACTCTTTTGTTTAGCTCCCTTTTCTCTTGCATTATTCCTGCATATTCTCAACTGTCTTCGTCTTTTCATATTTGATCTTTTGTTTACTTTAAGGTGAGATTACTGGGCTCTGTTTGAGTTTTAAGTCCTCGTATCACACTCCAGAAATTGCCTACAGGCCGAAAATCACGGCAGTCCGTCATACTTTTGTCATCTTGTTTATTTTCCTTTTCTGATAAATCACACTTCTATATTGTCTAATCTTTGGAAATCACTTGATAAAGTACATATTGTCAATTTTTCTGGTTGTTTACAGTGGGAGGGTTATTTTAGACATTGTTTATTATGGCTGAAGATGGAAGTCTACTACAATATGATCGTTTCCCTTGTAGGCTAAAGAAAATACTTTGGAAACTGTAAACACACATCATTTAAGAACTTTGAATAAAATGTATGCATACATTATTTGTATATATATATTGAAAATGTCATCATCAATACACTGTTCTGATAACTTAACCTTCCTAAATATTGACTCTGTGTAGACACAAATAACTTTCCCCCAGCAGCTGTCAGTGTTATAGAAAAAAGCGCTTCATTTTGCTTCTGATTTATAGAGAATATGAAACATTGTTTCTTTGATACATCCAGATGTTTAAAATTATTGGATTAAGGGCTATTCTAATACAGCCTATAACTTTTAAACTTTCTTCTGTGGGTTTAGGTATGGCATAGTTTTCATTTTAAATATTGTTTCCTTTTTTCCTCTTGATTAGACTTGAAGTAGGTGTATTAATTTGTTTAGACTTTTCTGAGAGCCAACTTTTAATTTTTTTATAGTCTCTATTTGTTTTTACATTTCAATAATGTCTTACCTTTATTTTTTCTATTTTTGTAGGGGAGAGAGGATGGTATTAGTCTGTTTTTTCCCTTTATTTTGTTCAGTTACATGGCTAGTTTATTAATTAGCAGTATTTCAAATTTAAGTACATTTAAATACATTGTCAATTCCCATGATTTACATAGAGTTAGGTTGGGGCTGTCATTTCTGAGTCTTGGACTGTGAATGAAAAAACACACTACTTCCAATTGGGGCAGTTAAAAGTACATGTGAGCCTTCTGGGCATTCTGCTCTCATATTATGGTAGCCACGGAAACCTCATATTGTATTGTCAGCGTCACAAATGGTCAAAGTTCTGTCAGTCTAGGTCTTCTAAGTGATTAAACAAAGCAGAGATTGCTCCCTCAACCCCTACTTCTATCAACCAGTATATAACTAATGTGTCATAGAATGAGAATAAGCCTTTGTGGTTTTAAACTTTTAAGATTTTGCAATCAATGTGTTGGAGCAGCATCATCTATTTCATTCTGGAAAATACACACAAACTTCCCCCTACCTCAGCTTTTAACAAGAAAGAATGTTCAAAAGTATAGTTGTGGATGTCAGTAAAATGGCTCACCAGAAATTCTCCACACCCCCACAAAAAAATCACACAAGTAAACAACTACATTACAATCAAAATGACAAAAGGAGAGTTCCAGCAAATAGCAAAGAAGCAGCAGAAATCCTATAAAGCACAGAACTACTGGATGGCTGCATAAAGAAGGGAAGGAAACATCTTGCTTCTGTCACCCCATCCCCAACCCTCCCCACCCCTCCCCACCCCTCCCCACCCCTCCCCATCCCCGATGATCAGATCTACTGGGAACCAGTACTGACTCCTTCCTAAAATAAAAAGGTAAGCAAGAAGATCCCAGCAGCCCTGATCACCACCATGAACACCTGCAGTCTTCGCTGCTGAGGCCTGCGGTCATCACAGGCTCTGAGCCCTGCTTAGGGAACTCTACAGAGTCCACATGCTGAGCTACCCCTAAAGGAGGAGTCTGTACTGTGCCTGGCACTGCTGTGGCCCCTGCTGCTACTGTGCTTTGCCATCTTGGAACCAGAGCCACTGCTTAAAGTTCATCTTGCTCCAGGGGCAAGGAGCCATCACATCTCTATCCTAGATGTTTTGCTGTCACAAAATCATGTCCTCCCAGTAACATGCCACCTTGAAACCAAGCTGCTGCTATACCCTAACCCACAGAACCAAGCTATCCTGGAGCTCCTCCATCTCCCATTCTAGTTGCTGCTACACTTACCCCTTGCAGCTGAGCTGAAGTGGCATCTCACTTCAGGGAAATTTCAGGTTTCTGGCAAACTGGAGCAATCTTGCCCCCACTGTACCTTAGCTGATGTAGTATGTCACCCCATAGGGACCTGGAAGCTCTGCATACTCACGTACCTACACTTTCTGAAGCTGAGGAGAAGCAGTACCTCCTGTTCCTGAGAATCAGAGTATTGGCTGAGCTGTGCCACCCTGCCCTACAGGTGGAACAGACACAGTGTCCTGCCTACCTAGAATAGGACTAGCTCTCAGCAATCTGAGATGATCATTACTATGCTGCTTCTCTCTCTTAGGGCACAAGCTGTGGCAGCATCTTGCCATTCCTGGCTCCACATTGCTGCAGCAACTGGCCTCACAGAGCCTGGACTGCTGCTATGTCCTCCACTCCCAGGGTCAGTACTCATTACTGTGTAGTACTTCATCCCCTTTACCCTGATCTGCCACTGTGCCCTGTTGATTCCAGGTCCTGAATTGCAGCTGTGCCTTGGTTCTTGAAACCTAGTCCTCCAGAGCACCCCTTCTTCCTCAGAGCCATGCCAGGACTACATCCTGCCCTCCACAATCAGAACCATGGCTACATCCCAGCACCCTGGGCCTGCGCTGCTGGGGTGTGCCTCAGCAATACACTCCATCATAGTGGAAGAACTACATCTATTCATGCCTTGGAAAGTGAGCCTGTGTCTTTGGTCCCAGTGCTACAGTAGTTTCATAAGACTCCAAGCCCAGGAACACAGCTGCATAGCTGTTGTGAGCACCTGTGCCCTGGATCCCAGTGCCATTATGGCTGATTGTGGGCCATGCCAGATCTGATATCAAGAGATCCTCTCAGCTAAAATCCCCCATTGTGAGAATGATAACAGGAAGATCCCTAAAGCCTTTGCCCTAAAAACCTATGTAGCCACCCTCACTGCCATAAACACTTGCATATGATGACTGAGATGACATGAGGCAATCTCAGTCATTGCTCATGTTGATCACAACTGAATAAGCTACATGGAGACTACACCACTGTCCCCACAAATAGTCAGAATCACTGCACCCTATGTATACAGCATCCTAAATTGTATATACAAGTGATAATATTCTAAGAAAAACCACTCTGTAGAATTTGGAACAGGTGATAACAATGTAGGGACACTAGAAACATGAAAAAAGCAAGAAAATATGACACCACCAAGGGAACACAATAATTTTGTAGTAAATGACCATAAGGAAATGGAAAATTATAAATTTCTTAAAAAGGCATTTAAAGTACTGATTTTAAGGAAATTGAGCAAGACACAAAAGAATGCAAATATAAAATTCAGTAAAATCAGAAAAACAGTTTATGATTTCAATAAGAGATTCAATGAAGAGATATTTAAAAAGAAATGTTGGAGCTGAAGATTCATCAATGAAATGAAAAAATACAACTGAGAGCTTCAACAGCAGACGAGGTCAAGCAGAATAGTCTGTAAACTTGAAAACAGATCTTTTGAAATGACTCAGAGGAAAAGAATGAAAAAGACTGCAGACAGTCTACAGGACTTACGAGATGCTATTAAGCAAGCGAAGATTCACATATGGCTGTTTCAGAAGGAAAAGAGATGTAATAGGACAGAAAGTTTAATAACTGGTATAGAGCTTGTAAGGCTTGAAAAAGATGAGGGCATTCAAATCCGTGAAGCTCAAAAGTCCCAGAGCATATGCAACTCAAAGACGTCCTCTCCAAGGCACATTATAATCAAACTATAAAAAGAGGAAATTTTTAAAGCAGTAAGAAAAAACCATCAAGTCACATATAAGGAAATTCACATTAGACTATCAGCAGATTTATCAACAGAAACCTTAAAGGCCAGGAGAGAAGAGATGATATATATTCAAAGTGCTGAAAGGAAAAGCAAAACAAAAACCCTGCTAGCCAAGAATACTACACATAGCAAAGCTGTCTTTTAGAAATGAAGGAGAAATAAAATCTTTCCTTGGTAGGCAAAAGTTGAAAGAATTCATCACCACTAGACCTGCCCTACAAGAAAAGTTTTTTCAAAAAAAGTGTTTTTCAAAAAGAAATGAAAGGACAATAATTGTCATGAATACATATGAAAGTGCAAAACATACTAGTAGAGATAAATACATAGTCAAACTCAGAATTCTCCTATATTGTAATGGTAACATGTAAATCATACATATATTTAGTTTAAAAGTTAAAAGCAAAAAAGGTCAGAAATAACTACAGGTACAACAAGTTATTAAAGAATGCACAATATAAAAAGATTCAAATTGTGACATAAACATCGTGTGTGGAGGAAAGTGCAGAGTTTTCTCGGTGACAAAAGTTATAAGCTTAACGTAGTTGATTATAACTATAAGATGTTTTATGTAAGCCTTCATGGTAATCACAGAATTAAAAACTACAGCAGATAAATGATAACAAAGGAAACAAAATCTAACAACATAAAATTATCAAATCTGAAATGTAGCTGACAAGAGAGGGAAAAAGCCATAAAAAGCTACGAAAAAGCCAAAAAAAAAATATCAAAATGCTGGTAGTAAGTCCTTACCTATTAACCTATTAATAATTTTGAATGTTAGTGAGTTACATTCTCCAAACAAAACCATAGAGTGGCTGGATGGGTTATAACGAAACAAGATTCAACTGTATGCTACCTATAAGAGACCCTTTTAAGCTCTAAAGACACACATAGGCTGAAAGTGAAGGATGGAAGAGATTATTCCATACAAATGGTAACCAAGAGAGAGCAGGGGTGTCTATACTTAAATGTAACTTCAAGTTAAAAAACCGTTGTTAAGGGACAAAGAAGGTTATCTGATGATAAAGGGATTGATTCATCAAAAGGACATGCTCATTGAAAATATGCATCCAACATAGGAGCACCTGAACACATAAAGCAAATGTTAATTGACATGAAGCAGAAATAGATAGCAATAAAATAATAGTAGGGTACTTTAATACCCATTTTTCAACAATGAATAGATCAATCAGATGTAAATAAGTAAATACTGAACTTGAATTGCACTTTTGATTAATATATCTTTTTGGATAGACATAGAGATCTTTCCATCCAAATCCAGTAGCATACACATTTTTCTATAGTGCACATAGAAAATTCTCCCAGGTAGATCACATGTTAGGTCACAAAACAAGTCTTTACAAAATTAAGTAGACTGAAATAATATCTAGTATCATTTCAGACCACTATAATATGAAAGAGGAAATCAGTAACAGCCAGGTTTTAGGAAAATTCACAAATATATGGAAATTAGACAACATGCTTTCGAACAAGCAGTGTGTAAAGGAGAAATCTAAAGGAAATTTTTGAAATATCTTGAGACAAATGGCAATCCAAATACAACGTTAGCAAAACCTATGGGATGCAGCAAAAACAATTATAAAGGAAAATGTATGGCAAGAAATGTCTACCTTGAAAAAGAAGAACGATCTCAAATAGTCTAACATGATTCCTTAGAGAACTAGAATAAATTATACCCCGAATTAGCAGAAGAGAGGACATAATAAAAATAAGAACAGAGACAAATCAAATAGAGAACAGAAAAACCACAGCAACAATTAAGAGTTCTATTTTTCAAAACATAAACACAATTGACAAATTTTTAGCTAGTCTAAGAAGAAAAAAGATGACTCGAGTAAAATGAAAATGAAGAAATTATAAAAGATATTTAAGAAATTATAAGGATCATGAGAGACTGCTATGAACAATTATGCCACCAAATTGAATAACCTTGAGGAAATAGATAAATTCCTAGAAAAATAATACCTGATACTGAGTCAGGAAGAAATCAAAAGTCCATACACACTGAACAAAGTGATGGAAGCAATAATAAAAAACCTCCCAAAAAAGATCCCTCCCAAGACCAGATGGCTTCACAGTCAAAATCCAGCCCACAGTCAAAGAAGAATTAACACCAATAACTGTTAAACTCTTCCAAAATGCAAATCTAGAGGGAAAACTTCTCAAATACATTTTGTAAGGCCAGCATCATCTTGATCCTAAGCCAGACAAAGACATCACAAGAAAAGGAAACTAGAACTACAAGTCAATATCTCTTATGAACACTGATGCAAACAAAAAATCCTCAATAAAATATTAGTGAACTGAATCCAAAAATACATCAAAATGATTATACATTATGATCCAGTGGAATTTGTTCCTGACATACAAGCCTGGTTTAACATACACAAATGAATCAATATCATACATCACACAAATAGAATGAAAGATTAAAACCACATGATCGTCTCGATGCAGAAAAAACATTTGACATCCTTTCTTATTAAAAATCTTTCAGTAATTTAGGTATGGAAGGGAATTATTTCAACCTAATGAAAACTCTGAAAAAACCCACAGCTAACATCATAATCAATGGGAAACAACAAAGCTTTTCCACTAAGATTAAGTTCAAGGCAAGGATGCCCATTCTTACTGCTTCTACTTAACATAATAGTGGAGGAACTAGTAGGAGCAATCAGACAGCAAAAAGAAATAAAACAAATCCAAATTGGAAAGGAAGAAGTACAATTATCTATATTTGCAGATGGCATGAGCCCATATGTTAAAAAATTCCCAAAGTTTCCACAAAAACATTTATTAGAACTAATAAATTCAATAAAGTTGCAGGATACAAAATCAACACACGAAAATCAGTATTTTTATACACAAATCACAATCTGACTAAAGCGAATCCAAGAAAATCCGTTTGTTAGTATCAAAAATAAAATTACTAGGAATAAATTTAACCAAGGTGCTGAAAGATCTCTACAGTAAGAACTATAAAACATTGATAAAGAAATTTAAGACGACACAAATAAAGATATGCTCATAGATTGAAGAATAAATATTGTTGAAATGTCCATACTACCCAAAGCAATATACATATTCAATGCAATCCCTATCAAAATACAGTGGCATTCTTCAAGGGAATATGGTAAACAATTTCAAAATTGTGTGGAACAATAGACCTCAAACAGTCAAAACAATTCTAAGAAAGAAAAAATTGTAAGTCATCATACTTCCTGATTTCAAGTTATGTTACCAAGCTGTAGTAACAAAAGCAGTAGTGTACTGGCATAAAAACACACAGATGAGTAGAACAAAACAGAGTGTTCAGAAATAAATGCAAACACATACAGTCAACTAATTTTTGACAAGGGCACCAACATAAACAATAGGAACAGGATAGTTTCTTCAAAAAAGGATGCTGTGAAATTGGACTTCCACATGCAAGAGAATAAAATTTGAATCTTATCCTGTGAAAAGGAACTAAAAATGGATAAAATACCTTAGAGCTCAATGCTAGAAAAACAAACTGATTTAAAAACTGAGAAAAACCCAAAATAGATATTTATCAAAGGAAGGCTGACAAAGGCCAGTAGATACATGAAAACGTGCTCAATGTCCTTAATCGTCAGATAAATACAAATCAAAACCACTATGACATACCACTTCACCCTCCTCATTAGGATGGTTATTGTCAAAATGTCAAAAGATTACAAATGTTGGTGAGGGTGTGGAAAAAGGGAATTCTTGTACGCTACTAGTGAGAATGTAGATTGGTACAACCATTTTGGAAAAACAGTATAGAGATTTCCAAATAAATTAAAAATAGACATACCATATGACTCAGCAATCCCTCTTCTGGACAAATACCCAAAGAAATGAAATCACTACCTCTTAAAGATACCTACACTCTCATGTTCATTGTAGCATTATTCAGAATATCCAAGATATGGAAGCATTGATGGCTGAATGGATAAAGACATTGTGTGTGTGTGTGTGTGTGTGTGTGTGCACGTGCGTGTATGATGGAATATTATACAACCTCCAAAAAAAGACATTTCATTTTGCCACAGTGTGCATGATCCTACAGGACATTGTTTTAATTGAAACATCAGACAGAAAAATTTTGCATGATCTCACTTATATGTGAAAGCTAAAAGAAAAGAAAAATAAATTATACAAATAGATCGAGGATAAAAAAGTGGTTATTAGGGATGAGAGTGGGCGGTGGGGATGAAATGAGGAGATATAGGTCAGAGGATACAAGGAAGAAGCTATGTTAGATGACGAAGTCTAGAGATCTAAGGTACAACATAAACAGTATAGGCAATAAAATTTTCTTGTATTAGAGATCATGCCAAATGAATAGATTTTACCTGGTTTTTCCACAAAAACAAGCACAACTACATGAGATGATGAATGTGTTAATCTATTTATAGGAATGCTTTTACTGTCGATAGGTAGTCTATAACACCATGTTATATACCTTAAATATATACAATAAAATTCATTTTTAAAAGTATAATTGTAGTGACTATTTGTTACCAATTTATCCCTAATGTAGCAAACCTCTTTATGTGTTTATACTCTTTATTTTCTTCTAAACATCAAAAATGCAGAGATGAGAAATTTTAGGCAGCTTATATTTAATGGGTTGAGTTTCTCAATAAGGTGATGGTTCCATTGTTAATATTAGAAAGTCCTTGGTTATTCAGGAATTCTATTTTAGTAAGAAAGTCTCAGTTTACACCGTACAGCTTTTCTACCACTCTCTGTGTTCAAGATGGCAAAAACCTTTACTTCCTATATAAGAGACTTATACATTTTCTGTACAAAACTTTACTTTTATGTATAAAATTTCCAACTACAGAGAAAACATTGAAGAGATAAGATGTGTTTTTCAGCAAGAGTCAAGAGTGTGGTTGATTTCAGTTGGAGGGAAATGAAACTGAGGTTTTTGATAGAGGAATGAAGTGTTGAAACAAAAATATGCAGCTATGGAAATTATTACCAAATGTGTTTGAAGTGTGAAAGTAATTATTAAATGTGTGTAAAGACTAGTTTGAGCTAGATGAACACACTTGTTTTTATTTTTATTTTTATTTTTTTTGAGACAGAATTTCACCCTTGTTGCCCAGGCTGGATTGCAATGGTGCGATCTCGGCTCACTGCAACTTCTGCCTTCCAAGTTCAAGTGCTTCTCCTGCCTCAGCCTCCCGAGTAGCTGGGACTACAGGCGTGTGCCACTATGCGCCACCTGCCCAGCTAATTTTTTGTATTTTTTTTTAGTAGAGACGGGGTTTCACCATGTTGGCCAGACTGGTCTCGAGCTCCTGACCTCAGGCGACCCACCTGCCTTGGCCTCCCAAAATGCTGGGGTTATAGGTGTGAGCCACTGCACCTGGCCTTATACACACATTTTTAAAAGACCACAACAATTGTGCCACAGAGGATAGGACAATGGAGAATTAGAGAGAGGTGGGGAGAGACTTTATTTTGGGCTTTGTTAACAATTTAGTTTTATCCCTATCAATTTTGGAATTTCGATAAATGTGCTTCTTTTCTACAACTACCTAACAGTTCAGGGGAAGTTAAAAATTTGAAATAGACTTAAACATTTTTGCAGAAGACAACTACAAACAAACTGACAAAAAATTGTTGAACAACAGTATTGCGGGATCTGGCCAGCAGCCCGCAGTGCAACGGGGCTCTCTCTTTTTTCCCAGGCAGATCGACAGGTCAAGAAATAATAGACACACACAAGATAGTGAAAGCTGGGTCTAGTGGGGTCAACCGCCTTCTGGTCCTGCGATGCCACCAATGTACTGGATATACCAGTATTTAAGTTTAGCGAGGGCAGGGGTAGGTTAGTGAGGGATTTAGGGTCTTTTGATTATGAGGTGAGATGGTCACATGGGGATGAAGTAGTTCTTTAACATAACATCTGTATGCAGCAGTACAGTACATGGATATAAGAATTTACAATATAGTGTGTATATCAGTAATTTCTAACAGAGCCTTAAAACAGAAACACAATCTTTCCATAACCTATGATTAGCAAGATATTAATCAGCAGTAACAGTTGCAGCAAAACCTGGTTACGAGCAATCCATAGAAACAGGACGTGAAGCTAGACAGCCGGTTAGACTAGAAATTCTCAGAAGGGAGTATGCCTTAACCCTAAAGAGGCCTAGAAGAGCCGTGGCAAGATGAGGGCCTTTATAGTCCTATCTTATCCATATGGACAGGCGCCCCTCATGCATTGACTTATAGGCTCTCCACAGGGGTCGCATTCCATTCCCAGAGCTATGAACATCTGCTTTTCTGGGATGGGAATCTTGGTGATGTGAAACCTCCCTGACTGCATGTCCGTTCATAGGCTCTCTGCAGGAGGAAGCACATCACGCGCTATTGGCTCATCCTGGCAGCCCAACCTGGCATTGTCTTTACACAATCCTGCATGCAATTTTGTATTTACAATAATCAGGAGCATTTCATCTTTTATTCCGTAGCAATAGTTTCCAGGGGTCTCCCTACACAACAGAAAGGGTCAGGAAAGTAGAAAGAAATTTTATTGACATCAACTTAAACAATGGTGAGACTTTCCCAAAACTTAATGACAGCAGATAAAGACAATGAAAACTCAAAATTTACTTGGCTGGGTATGCCCTTTGGAATGGAAAGGAGAGTGACTCTGGAGTGTTATTTAGATGGTTATGGAAATGTTCCTGGGTCTTTAAAGGGATGAGTGTCAACAAGAGCCCAAAGTAAGGCAAGGAAGTAGACTAACATGAGAGTGAATGTTAGAGTGTGGAATAAGGATGAGAGAAATGAAATAAGCATGAGAATGAAGGCCAAAGAAGTAGAATGTAAGGTGATTTTGATCACTTCTAGGAGGTGGATGTTCTTTGTAATCACTGGAGGCAAGATCATTACCACATCACTGGGTGGCTGAATAAGATAGAAACAAACATCATATAGAAGAGATTTAGGAATGTGAATTTTGAAGAATCTTTAATGAGGATGATGGCATTCTTTGAGCTGGAAATAGGTAATGGAGAGCGAAAGATCTGGGATGCTAATGATAAAGTCACTAGGAAGTTTTGGGGGATTGCTGGAAGTGTTATCAGCAGTAAGGAAGGCATTTACTCCCTTGGAGAACATTGTGAAAGAAATACAATATTAGGAAAAGAGCTTAGGAAGCTGAAAGAGCGCAGACCAAACCAGCAGAGGATGGGGGGAGCTACAAGTGTAGAGAGAGATACTAGGAATGGACACCTGTGAGTTGAGTATGGATCCAAGGTCTGAACTAAATAGTATCCCGAGCAGTTTACACACAGAGTGACAAGTTAGCAAACAGGGATTGAGGAGGCAGATGGTATGGAATATTTTTCTTTTTTAAGAAGATAAATATGAATGATACTACTTTTGTCAGTATTCTTAATTCATATAAAAATGTTTGTATATTTTAACGGCACATTGTCAGCTAGAAACACCTTTAGTATGTGCCATCATAATGATATATTTTATACAGATGTAACATCATTAGTAAAACTGACTATTCCAATTTAATCTCTCTCAGTGCTACATTTGAAGTTATAGTCACATAACATCTAAACTGTTATTTGAGAAATAAGTCAACAACTGATTTCAGTGATCTTTTCCCTAAATAAATGAACTGAACTTAGGCACAGGGTGTACATTCATCATGATCAACTTAGATTTGAAGAAAATCACTTCTTCTGGTTTTCTAAACTGGGTTTGGAAGAGATTTTAGTGAAATTAATTTGTGGATAGATTCCATACAAAAACTAGATTAAAAAAAAAACAAATTTAATGTGAACTTAGTCAAGTACAGAAGAAAAATCAATAAGCATGTATTAAAAACTAGTATATCTTTCTCCTACAATGTTTAAATGTGACATTATCATGGCATTCAACTCTCAAACAATAGAGGGTCAGTACTGAACTACAAGGTTAAAATATTTATAGTGAAGAGTAAATAGTACAGAACATCTTATTATTTTCCAATTGTGATAATTCTAAAAATTATATAAGAAAGCACTTATATTCTTTTTAAGGAGTTGCACACTTTTGAGATTTTATTCTGCCTCTTGTTTCACCCACTTGCATACATCTTCATTGTAATTAACTTCAGAATTTATCCAATAAAGTGTAGGGGAAGCAATAAAATTTAACATATATCTAAGAATATTATGGAGGTCAGTTGGTCCACATCTTGAATTTTCAACATTAAATTAACAAGTTAATAAATGTTGGCATCTGGCTTTTTCTAGTTAAAATTTGAGTTTTATAGAGAATTCCTTTCCAGCTATGATGATCAATAAAGGACAACTAGGAAAGCCAGATAAAAATCTAAAATACATCTGTTTGGGGACATCAAAGGGCAGTCAAGGTTGCCAGGCATCTAGGGGCAAAGAACCTGAAAAAGAAGGTACTGGAAAAGAGTGACAGCATTTTGCAGGCTCCCTCAGCCTTTGAGGCATTTGCTGATTTTCTGAACATGGAAAGAGGCTGAGAACCCTGGAAGAAGGCTGCTGCTAAGAAGCAGAAATCCCATAAGCACTTTTGGAAATATCTTGTGTCTGGGAAGACAAATATCCAAGTTTGTGATTTTCAAGTAGGATAAGACTTGAAAGAACAACATCATGAAGGCAAGGGTGACACAGAGACATGAACCTCATATTTGAGATTTTGACTCTTTATAAATGTGTTGTATAATTAAACAGCAGTGCAAGAAGACTGAAGCCATTCAGAAAGCCTTTGGAAAGAAGAATGAAGGTTTTGTTACTCTCACTGTACTGAAAAGATCATAATTTAGGATGCACCAATTATGTATAGAGAAAACAAACATATTGACTCTCACATAATACCTCTAGAAGGTAATAATCTCAGAGCAAGGGTCAACCAGAGGTTAACTGACAGAAAATTCCAACACAGTCTAGAGTCAGTTCAGTCCTTTGATTAAGTTAATTAGACACCATTCTAGCTTCATGCCAGAGGATAAGGTGAATAAATTCTGGGGCAAAGAAATGTCATCCATAGCTTTTGAATTTTTTATGCTCAATATCCAAGGATCAACAAAAATCCAAAGAAAGGAAACCAATAGCAACATCAGACAATAGAAAAGACCCACAAGTGATCAAGGTATTGCAGTTGTGAAACACAGACATTTAAATAACTGTGCTTATTATGTTCAAGAGAAAAGATGACAAGGTGGGAAGTCTCAGAGGAATAGGAATATCTCATAAAAGAATTAATGGAAATTCTAAAAAGGAATAATACCTCAACTGCATCTAAATAGAGCATATTGGATACAGGAAAAGAACATGATTAGTGAACTTGATTGTGGTACAGTTTTAAAAAATGGCCAGCAAATGAAGATGAGACATAGTGGCAAGAGTGGAAGAGGTATGAAGTATGCATAATTGCAATCCAAGACAGAAAGCAGGGAATGAAGAAGAAATAAAGCTTGAAGAGAAAATGAGATTTTTCTAAAACAGAAGAAACACCAAACATGGTGCAGAATCACGACGTGATGAGAACTGCAAGTAGGAAGAGTACGTCACAGTAAAAATCTATAAAACAAGAAAAAAATCTTAAATGTGGTTAGGGAAAAGAGGCAGAATGCTATCAATGAGCCACGTTCATAAAGAAGGCTTACTTCTAAAGAACCAAGAGAAAATGGAAAGCTACCTGCAAAATACACGAAAGCCCCATGCAATACCAACTTAGAATTCCATACCTAGAGAAAATTCTTTTCAAAATTGAGGCTATACAAATTGATTTCCAAACAAAAAAGACAACTTAGAGAATTTGTTAGCAGACCTATGGACTAAAACAGAAAATACAGAATTTCTAAGGCAAAAGAATAAACCCAAAGAGAAACAAGAAAACATAGAAATGAAAATCAATGGAAAGAGTGAAAATGTAGTCAAATCAAAATGAGTTATTACTGTCTCAAGCAATTAGGTAAGATCCTATTGGACTTAAGATATGTACATAGAAATAAACACCTAATAATAAAAAGAAGGGAGAAGCAGGTAAATAGAATTGAAGTGTCTAAGATCCTACATTACCCTGGAGGGGGATAAATTTATAAACTTATATGACATTGTAATAAGTCAAATCACCTTAGAGAACCATGTGGAGAACCACTAAAAAGACAAAAAAAGCAACTAACAAGCTAATTGGTACAAACATCTAAAACAGGTTAGTTAGTGCTTTTCTGAAAGTTAAAGATACACCATCTGGTTTAACCATCTCAATCCTAAATATTTACTTAAGTATTATTTTCTATATTATAAATGTATGTGCTTATAATTTTTTGAAAATAAAAGGAATATACCATCTTTATATATCTGTGTCTATACCTATATCAAAAGCTGTACTGAAATGTTCTTTGTTGCTTTAGGTACAATAGCTCCAAACTGGAAACCACCCAAATGTCCATCTATAGGTGAATAAACAGCTGTTCTATATCTGTGCCATGTAATACCAAAAAGTAAAAGAAGAATGATCTACGGATAAATGTTATATTGTAGATAAATCTTTAAATAATTATGCTGTGTGAAAGAAGCCAGACATGAAAGAGTACCTACTATCTGGTGGCTTTTATATGAAAATCAAAAAAGGCATATGAATTTTTAATTGAGCTGTAATGGTCATTATCTACTGATAGGAAAGGGGTGGGAGGGAAGTACAAGAGGGAAGGATTACTTGATTGTGTTATTTTATGGTATATACATATTTCAAAATTTAATTATTTGTACACCTTAATATGTGGACTTTATCATATGTCAATTCTATCAAAATCTTTAAACCTATAGCAAATATCATATTTATTTTTAAAATAATTACCTATTTGCCTTGAAGATAAAGAAGAAAACAATACCTGTTACCAATCTTATTAAATATGTGATGGCAGTTCTTGTTCATCAACACAGTAAGGAAAAAAGAATATGAAGCTTGTAACAAATGACAAAAAGCTGTCACTATTTGTAGACAGTGTAGTTCTGTATATAAAAACTCAAAGAATCTATAAACAGCTATTAACATTTTAAATTAACAAGATAGTGTGGCATGATGTCAATACATAATATCAGTTACATTTCTCATAACAATGCTTAGAAAATGAAAAAAATTAAGGGTGTCATTTTTAATAACATGAAAATATCAGTTACCTAGTTGAGAAAGACCTTTACAGAGGAATAAAGAACAAAACAAAACAAAAATTATTAAAAGACATTATAGAAGGCCTAATTAATAGTGTGATAGCCAATATTTGTGAATAGGAAGAGTTGATCTTTTGTTGATGTCATTCTTGTCTGCATTAATCTAGAGAATCCATGCATTATCAGTAAAAACCCTAGTTGATTTTTTTTTGAAAATTTACAATCTTTTCTAAAAGTTTTAGTAAAGCTTTAGGATAAAAAACAGCAGGAATAGTCAAGGCAATCTTGAAGAATAATAACAAAAATAAAATACTTACGTGACCATATGTTAAGACATATTATACAACTATAAAAGTAAAAAACAGTGTGAAAGTAGTATAAGTAAAAGCAAATAGACCAAAGGAGTCTATCAGGGCATCCACACACATTGCATCACATGACTTATAATAAAGGTGACTCTTCAATTAGAAGATAATGTCCTTTTCAATAAAGTGTTACAGTCAATTGAATATCGATATAAAATATATTTGACCCTTTTTTCACACCATAAGCAAAATAATTCCAGATGGGTTATTATCTAAGTGTGAAAATTAAGATTAACGAAACATGAGAATATACTAATGACATTGCAGAAAGAAATAGTTCTTACACTGGGAAGAAAATGTTTTAGCCATACAGTTAGAAATTGATTAATTGCACTGCATAAAAATACCAACTTGTGTTATCTGTGTCCTTCAAAAGACATCACTGTGAGCCAGAGAAGTCAGAGAAGGTGTTTATAAGTCGTATCTCAAAGATCCTATATATTGAATATATAAAGCACTCCTACAAATAAAAACAAATAAGAAACCGCATAGAAAATGGACAGACTTGAATAGAGCTTCACAAAAGAGGATAAATACCAATTATATATTACATTTCTTAATACCATCAGTCATCAGAAAATTATAACTTAAAAAAGAGGTATCACTATATACACAAATGCAACTAAATGTTTGAACCTTTTTGTTACTATACTTCTTCACTATAGAAAGTATTAAAAAAAATTATATCTGAATTATTCTCCAATTTTTGCTGCAACTTTTGAATATGGCTTTTAACTGTGCTTGTCTCAAAACACAATCAATAGTTTGGTTTTCTGGGAAAATAATCAGAAATTGATAATGGAAGCATTATTATAATTCAAGACATTGTGGGTCACATCACATGGTAAGACGGAAGGAAGTGTGGCCGGGTATAAATTAGTATTACTCCAGATTGCATCAAAGTTGAGATGAGAAAGACCTATGATCATCATCTGCATTTTTCTTCTGTTTTCTTTTCTTTTTCTTTTTTTTTTTTTTTGAGCTGGAGTTTCACTCTTGTTGCCCAGGCTGGAGTGCAGTGGTGTGATCTCTACTCTCTGCAACCTCTGCCTCCTGGGTTCAAGCAATTCTCCTGCCTCAGCCTCCAAGTAGCTGGGATTACAGGCATGTGCCACCACACCTGGCTAATTTTGTACTTTTAGTAGAGACAGGGTTTCTCCATGTTAGTCAGGCTAATCTCAAACTCCCAACCTCAGGTGATCCACCTGCCTCAGCCTCCCAAAGTGCTGGGATTACAGGTGTGAGCCACCATGCCTGGCCATCGTGTCCATTTTTCTAGCTGGCCCATCAGAATTCTCTCATATCTGACAAGGAGAACTACAAATTTGATCTCCTGCTGTCAAAAGCTTTAATAATACCTTTTATTTTCAAATCAGCTACAAATGAGTTTGCTCAATTTCATTATGTAATGTTAATTTTACTGACAAACTTCAAGGGAAAACAACCTGGAGCAATTAAAATGTTTGGATAAAATATCTTTTTAATTTTCACAAATGACCAGCATTTAATTGGACTTAGATGTCTTCTATTTTAGTTCTTCCATTCTCCCTCAACAAAAGATCTTCCAATTATAATTGCTCTTTCACTAGTAACAGTTTAGTTTTGAGACGTATGAATTACTTTTCAGTTAAATTATGGACTCAGCCTAAATGCTAAGCCTAAATAATTCATATCAGTAGAGCCTGACAACTTATTTCTCATAAACTTCTTGTGTATCTACTTTGATGTCTCAAAATTGTAAGCTTCAGAAGTAGGGTATGTAAATATGCATGTCTCAAACTTCTTCAAGATAATTGAAACTAGACATTCTCTGTACAGCACATATTCTAATCACAGGTCCCCAATATTGGCTACATGTTAGACACCCCTGAGTACTTTTAAAACTCCTTTTGACCCCACAATAGACCAATTACATTAAAATATTAGGCCTGGAGCTCAGGCTTTGGTATTTAAAGGTTTTTTTTTTTTTTCATGAGATTTCAGTGTGCAGGTAGGAATATAACCATATTTTTAGAGGATATTAAGAGCAGTTATTTCATCTGGAATAGGGCATGGTGACTTATACTTTAGCAGAAAATAAAATAGAGTTTCAGAAGAAAAATATTTTGGACTCATTTCTGTTTGAAATCTTTCTGCTTTTCTGGAATCGTGAGGGTACCAAACAAGAGAGGGTTCATACTCTGTCTTAGGTAAGCAAAGACCTGCCTCAGAGAGAGCCAGGTTGTGCTCAGGAAAAGCTACAGGTCTCTTTGGTGATTAACAAAGACCTTAATGAGCCTTAGTTATCTGTAGTCTCAGTACTTGTCCTTGAAAGCTGAACAGCTATAGAAAATCATGCTACATGCATGGATGGTTGGTTCCATTATAAATCATGATTATCACCCTGAACCTGATGTGTAACACTTCCAGTCACGATGGAGGTATTTCTCTAGTTAGTTCAATTTCATATTTAACAATGATTATTTAAAAATAATTATTGGAGGCCCTTAACTCCCTCTTACTCTCATCCAATGATCCTACTTCTTACGGAACAGAAAAAATTAATAGATGCCATTATTTTGTTAACTGCCGAGACCAGGTCCGTCGGGGAGACCCTAACCCAGTGGCGCTACAGGAATTAAAGACATACACACAGAAATATAGATGTGTGAAGTGGGAAATCAGGGGTCTCACAGCCTTCAGAGCTGAGAGCCCTGAACAGAGATTTACCCACGTATTTATTAACAGCAAGCCAGTCATTATTAGCATTGTTTCTATGGATGTTAAATTAACTAAAAGTATCCCTTATGGGAAACGAAGTGATGGGCCAAATTAAAGGGATAGGTTGGGCGAGTTAACTGCAGCAGGAGCACGCCCTTAAGACACAGATTGCTCATGCTATTGTTTGTGGCTTAAGAATGCCTTTAAGCTGTTTTCTGCCCTGGGCAGGCGAGGTGTTCCTTGCCGTCATTCCCGTAAACCCACAACCTTCCAGCGTGGCTGTTAGGGCCATTATGAAGATGTTACAGTGCTGCAGAGATTTTGCTTATGGCCAGTCTTGGGGTCAGTTTATGGCCAGATTTTGGGGGGCTTGCTCCCAGCAGTTGACTACCATATCAGCATAACCAGCTGTGGCTACATGTATGTACCTTTTCACGTTCAAAAGAAGTTTTCTGTTTTATCCAGGCCCAATTCTTTCTTACGCATTCTGGGACCCAGCACATCTTACCTTTTTAAGATCATGAGTTGTCACCCTCTCTCTTCTAAATCTCTAATTTCACTCTTATCAACATTTAGAAGAGCTCAGAGAACATTTACCAAATAAGAGTTTGCACAATCAAAGAGCTGAAATGTTATAAGCTGGGCATAGAATGGTATGGATGAGCTTAAATATATGGGAAGGAGATTTATGAATGGACTTAGAGGGCATGGAAAAGAAGCTTAGATGTCATTCTCAATACAGGGGTAATTCACTGGAAGCTTCAAAGGAAGAAAATGATATGACCTGACATAGATCTTGAGAAGATTACTCTGTATTTTAATGCAAGGGAGAAGGAGGGCACAGCCAGAAGGAATACAGCAATTAGAAAATGTTATCATCACTTGAAACAAGAAATGCCTATGCTCTTCCACGATCAGAAGTAGTAGGGGCAGAAGAATTAAACACATATCTGAGATGTATTTTTGTGGAAGAATTAAATGCAATTGCTGATGGATTGCAAATAGGGTGCGATGGAAAACGAACATCTGGAATGTAGAGAAATTTGAAGTGGGACACAAATTTGAGGGCTGCCCTATAATCATAGATCACTGTTTCTGAACCCTGACTGTTCACAAGAAATAGAGAAAAATACAAACAATAATAAGAAAAAAAAACTAAAAAGCAGTATCATCCTCCTCCCCCATAATTGTCATGTGTATGTGTTAGTACTCAAGATTTTCATGCACGTTCTTCTCTGTTCTTGGGACATCCCCTCTACTCTTTTGTGGGATTGTATGTGCCTAGTTAAATTTGAACCTCAGATAAACAGCACATAATTTTCAATATAAGTATGTTCCATTCAATATTTGGGCTGTTTGTATTTCATATAACAACCTTACCCCTTGCCTTACCTAATTCCTTGTCTTTCAAATTTCAGCTGCAATGTTACCTCCTGTCTAATTCAGACTAGTTTCGGTTTCACTTCTTACATGTCCTCCTACTATGCAGTACTGATACTTATTTAATATCTATCTTCCTCTTTAGATAACAGTCTCCAAGTTTTCAAAAACTATTTTTCTTCTCATGTAGCAAATACGTTATTGACAGATGGTAGGAACTCAATATATACTTTTGAGTAAACACGTAGCAAATATTAACAAAGCCTGGGTCTGTCTATAGTATTATGAAGGGCATACAATATATAATTGGGTATTTCTGTACTTGAATTCCAGTTTTAACAGACACCAACTGAGTTTTGTTTGATAAATCTAGGCATCTTCACCAGAAAACTGAGGGGATGATACTTTACATTGCACAACTATTGTGACAAATGTGAGGCTACATAAATTTTCAAAAAAAAAAAGTATTGTGTCCTTTCCTATTCTTGATTTTAGTGAAGAACCATGATGCAACCTCATCATCCTCCATCTTTGTGACTTATCCACAAGTCTCTCTTGAGGCAAATCACTTCACGTTGCAGGATTAAACCTGCTAAGTACATTCACTCTCTTACCCCATTAATTCTGTTAACTCATAGCTTGGGATTCTCATAACTCATAAATGTATTCTATGCTACAGATTTGCAGGAGCAAGCGCATGCAAGACATTGAGGATTTGGGTCCTCTCAGGTCTATATGCATTCCATTGCTTTATATTTTTTGTTTTCATTCTGTTTTTAATCATTCTCTCAGTGTCCAATTGTTGGAAGAGAAGCAGTATGACTGCAGCTTTCCAAAATCTTTCTTCCAGGGCATGGAATAAAATCGACTCTACTCTTGAGTCTTGAAATTTCGAAGATTTTCATTGTGTTCCCTCCTCCTCCCAGGTTTATCCTCTACTCCTGGATAGTGGGCCATAGAGGAATCCTCCTTACAATTCAGTTTTTTCCAGTTTTCTTCCTACTAATGCACAGATTCTTTCTAGTCCAGAGTAAGGTGTGTGGAGCAGGTTAATTTGAAATGAATTCCATTCCTCCACACTTCCTTGTGAATATTCTATGCCTCATATGGAAGTGATTGACTTCAAGAATTGTGTGTCCTTCTTTTTATGGTGCACATGGGTAGTAACAGAGGACAAGAACACAGAATTTGAATTGTTTGATAAATATGAATTCTTCACTAATTTCCTGCCATTATCTCTTTGTTCTCCATTCTATTATTTCCGCTCTTTTTTTTTTAATGTTTTCCTTCTGATTTCCTCTATAGGGCATTGCTTCCTTTCTTTGAATCACTTCATCATTTATTTACTTTGCATTTTCCTTCTTTCTCTCTTCCTCTATCTTCTTTCCTCTTTTCCACTTTCTTCCATATTGTAAGTAAATCTATGGCATTACCTCAGATATATATTGGATTTTCATACAATATCAAATGCAAAATCTGTACATCTGTAGGCCCATCAGATAACTTGAGATCTTCCCAGCATAAATACAGGCTGAGCTCAGGCCTGAAAGTCACAGCAGCCTGCAATTCCATGATCCTTAAGATTATTATACTTGTCTACTTTTTGTCTGTGCTTACATAGTCTGTTATCTGTTACCCAACATTACTATATTTAACATCTTGCCAAGAAATGTAAATAGCTAAGACTAGGTTAATGAAATCTGAAATGTGAGACTGAGAAAAAAGCAAAACAAAAATCTAATTCAGCAATTAGATTTTTTCCTTTCCTAGCAAATGATCTTTTAGTGCACTGTGCATTTTGTTTAAATGATCTTTAATGCACTGTCAAACACATGATAGGGTAGGTGAAAAGTGAACTTGTCTTAAAGGAATCCACTGTGTGTGTGTGTGTGTGTGCATGCGCATGCACACGTAAATAATTATTGTACTGGCTTTGGCTTTAAGCAACTCATGAACTTCCCCACCATGGCAGGTAGAGGCTAGCACTTCATTAATTTACATCTAAAATCTTGCATGGCTGGGGATGAGACATGTATTTTCTATGATTGTAAAAGAAACCTGGGGAGCTACGCTAGTTAGGGTGGCAATTTTCAGGTGCTGTGATATCATCACTCAATGCCCAGTAGTACTGGATAAAGCATCCTGTATGGGAAATAGGCAACAACCTCTATATAAAATATAACGATGCCAGTGATAACCAGGCAGATTCATAAATCGCTTTTACAACAGGAACAAAGGAACACATGAAGGGAGGTCACCATTTGGATGCCCTCAAGATATGCTGAAAATGAGAAAAATGGCAAGTAATTTTGTAGGCTCTTATCATGGAAATCAGATTTGACCAGGGAATGGTTCATATCAGATTGGGGCCATCTAATTTCTTCTTCCTTTACTGCAGTCTTCTGTTTAAACTTCTGTTTTAATGAATAGTATTACTTGGAGAGGTACCTTTTAAAAAATCATTTGAGAGGTTTCCCAGGCTTGTCTTTTGTTTGGAATATGGAAATATAGGTGTTATAAGTGCTGTATTCAGGCAAAAAGAATGAGTCCCCTCCCCCCAACAATGTCTCTTACTAGGGATATTCCCATAGCTTCAGAAGGTTTGTTATTAAAAAAATAGATTTTTTCCTTAGGAACTTAAAAATACAAACCTAAATCAAAAGAGTTCCATTCTGAAAACTGATCCTATTATTTAAGATGTCTCTGTTTTTTTAATAAAGATTCAGTGCAAGGAACAGAAAACATATTAAGATTTTAAACAAGAAGGAATAAACACAGAAGAGTGGATGTTTACAAAGTAGGGAGAAAGACTGAAGGAGGGGGCTCTCAGTAGGACCCATAAAGATGACTCCTAGAACTATCAGGAGAGCCACTACTACTACTGAGGTCACCAAAGAAGCTAAGCCAAAATCAGGAGCCCACTTCCATGGCCACAGAACCACCAAGAATCAAGAGAATCAATATCCATGGCTGCCATCCAGGAACTCACATGATGGATAGAGAAGCCACATAATGGCTTCCCCCATTCTCTCTACACAAGTAAGCTGGAGCAGTGCTGACTAATAGCAATATAATGTGAGACATATATGTAAATTAAAATTTTCTTGTGCCCTCATTAAACAAGGGAGTAAAATAGGTAAAATTAATTTTAAATTTTTTAACAAAAATTAATATGATTATACTTACATAATTATATATAAAATATTTCAATACACAATGCTTATGAAAATTGATTACTTGATTTTTACTTATTTATGTTTTGGGGAATAGTAAGACATGAAAGCCCACTGTGTGTTTTACACTTACAGAACATCTCCATTTGGCCCAGCCACATTGCATATGCTCCGTGGCCACATGACGCTAGTGACTCCATACTGAGGCAGCACAGAGCTAGGAAAAGAGGCTGTTGAAGATTAATTGCTGCAGAGAAATTGTGGTTTCCACCACAGGCTTCCAAGCAGAAGCAGACAAAATGTGACAGGAAGATGGCTTCTACCTCACTTTGGCTTTCCAAATTTCATGCCCGTGCATATGATTGGCAGATCTAATTTGCCTCTAGAACCGTTGCTTCAAAGGAATCTGGAAAACGTGTTCTTTCTGTTTTGTTTTGATTTTGAAATTCCACACTTGAAAGAAAGGTGAAATGCAGGTTGAGTAAACTAATCTATAGCATCCAGTAGTTCTTTCACAAAGAGAGAAAGGGCCATTGCTATGACAATCTGTACATCTCATTTCTATCATCCTATACATATGAGAATATATTGAAATATATATTACTATATATCTATCATATACTATATATTACTGTATAGTATTTAATATATACTATATATAGTACTATATATAACTATATAGTATTTAATATATACTATATATAGTACTATATATACTTTATATTATATACTATACATTAAAATATATATTTTATTAGTACTAATATAGATATCGTATGTATATTAGCATTAATGAAACTTCCATCAGTTAATTTTTTTCTCTATTTTGGAACACTTGTAGGTAACCAAAGCCCCATTTCATAAAGTTTATTGTGGTTTTGTAAGCAGGAACACAAAGGTGTAACTCTAAACTTCTTTTCTGTAACTTAGTCTTAAAATTATCTCCAACATACAATTTCTGAGGTTTTAATCACAACTCCCATCCCTATTAGCTTTTCCTCAATTGTCTCTTAGGATTCCTACATGAAAAGGCATCAGTATGAAAAATCAACACTTTTAAAAATGTTTAGGTTGTTTATCACACGCATCCATTCTTGAAAGTTGCATGGATCTTAATGGGTCGTTCAGTCTGACTTGGAGGCTGGGGTGACTTATATTAATGCAATACAACAATGGAAAAATAAGAAAATAAGATGCAGGCTTCTGGAAAAGAATCATATTATGAGAATAGAGAAGCTTTTAGAGGTTATTTATAACAAAAGTGATGAAACAGTGAAGTTTAGGGCACATTTTCTGAGAGAAACATTGTATTATAGTAAAGGAGCCTGCAGTTTCATCTGTCTAAAATCCAATCTATGAGACATTACACTCTGCGTCTTTCACAGCCACACTCAGTACTTCAATCTGTCACCTCTGTTCATTGCAAGAATGAGCAAGTAGCTGGAAAACCTGGATAATATTTTCCATTTAGATACCTGGAGTGTAATAAGAGCCGAGGCTTGTCTCTAAGGAATAAATAGTAACATTATATCATCTAGCATTGCCTTGTACATTGTAGGTGTCCTATGTATACATATTGAGTAGATACTCAGAATTTTTTATAGTTTTTTAAGGTGATCATATATTGGTTTTAAAAATATGAAGCTGATACATAATGCCAAAAGAATATTGTAAGATATTTGAGAAGAGCACATGCTAGGCTGGTGTTTTCAGAATAGAATTCAACAGAGACTCTTCTCTCCTGTAAAATTGACACCTTCAAGATTTTATTATCCTGTTCATTTGTGGTCCCTGCTGAGTGACCTTTTCCAAGATTATGCTTCAATTAGCTCTTCTAAGCAGGTGGACTCAAAAATCTATGTCTTTAATTTGTTCTCTCTTTTTAAATTCTCTTTTACATCCCAGATCCATATTTCCAAACCCTCTGATTTCAAGAGCATTTTCCAATAGGCAAAAATGTTAAATCCAAATTTTCCTTTTTCTTGTACTCTTGAAATCTTCTCTCTTAGTTCACTTTTTTTTTATGTGTGTTACTGTCACAAGAACTACTTATCCACCTGCCCAGGGTTAAACCTTTGAACATCTTTCGTTTCTTTCTCTCTGTCTCTTAGCTTCTCTTAAACTAAGAGCTTAATCTAGTAAATTCTCTTTAAATTTTAAATGTCTACACATCCATTTTCTATTCCTTGATGAAAGTATTGTAATACATATTTTTAAATAATTTTTGGTTAAAGTATTGTTATACAGTAAACTTTTTTTTCATTTTCTTGTATGATTCTACACATATTAGTGCAAGCAGATATTTATATAAACTGTCCTAAGTGATGGATTCAGAAAAGTTTCATCACCCCAAAAACTCCTTTATGCTCTCTTTATTAGTAGTTACATTTTCCCTGTTTCTAAATGCTGAGAATTAGTGGTCTGTTCTCTGTCCCTATAGTTTTGTCTTTTTTTGAATGCCTTGTAGATGAAATCATACAGCATGTAATTGTTTGAGACCACCTTCTTTGACTGAGAGAAATGTCTTTGAGATTCATCCAATTGTCACATGTATTAGTGGTTTCTTTTTTGTTAGTGCTGAGTGATATTTCACTGCATGGACGTATCACCATTTGCTCTTTTGTCTTCCAAAATACATTAATTTTTTCCCTTCTGTTCACGGGGCTTAAAATATGTCCTCTACCTCAGGCCTAGCTGCTTCTACTCTCTTATTTTTAAAATTCAGTTCAGGAACAATGTATTTAGTTATGTGATTATAATCAATACTTTCCTTTTCCTTTTATTTATGAGGTTTCTTCAAGTTTAAAATTACTTACCTCTAAATTCCCACCTATTAAAATCTTGCCCATTCTTCATCACCATTTTCTTGATTATTTTTATCATTCTCTTGAGTAGTTTTGTCTCTCTCAAAGCTTGATACAGCACTTTAAGTTTATGTTGTTTATCTTATGTTGGCTTATAGCTATGCATGCTTTGTAGATTGGGCAAAGATTGTATGAGATAAATTGTAAAATTAAAAATGATATCTAAGAGCAAATACTGGAAATGAAGACATAGTGGATTATTTAGAAATGTACAAAAATCCCTTAACCGGATTTTCTAAGGGTTTTCACAAAGTGGAATGAATGTAGCTGCAGTGTACATGGCTGAGCTTTCTGCAAACGCAATTTTTGATGTCTTTTTTACAAAAGAAATTCTACTTGAAGTCCCATTGAAATACCATCAGCCCTTTCAATTACTTTTATACTATTTTTTGTCTCAGAGTCAAGTATATGACTACTTGGAGAAATAGATGACTCAACTCAAAGAGCTTACGTCTATTAAAATTTTGTTTCATATATCTATTTACATTTTCCTTTTTCTTTGTTGTGTTAGTTTTCTAGGGCTGTCATAACAAAGCACCATAGAATGAGTAACTTTAACAACAAAAATATGTTTTTCTTAGAGTCCGAGAAACTAGAAGTCCGAGGTGAATGTGGTGAGAGGTTCAGTTCATCTGAAATTTCTCTCCTTGCTTTGTAGATGCCTGCCTTTTGTCTGTGTCCCCATGTAGTCTTTTTTGTGTAGATAGGCATCTCTAGTGTCTCTTTGTGACCAAATATCCTCCTCTTAAAAGGACACTAGACAGATTGGGTTACAACCAACCCTAAAAGACTAATTTAAACTTAATCACCTTTATGAAGCCTATTTTTTTTAAATCTTAAAAGAAATATATTCTGAAAGTACATTTACAGGTTTTTTACATGGATATATCACTTGAAGCTGAGGTTTGGGTTTATATTCTTGTGAACCTAGTACTAAATATGTAGCTTTTCAACCCTTGCCCTCCTCCATCCTTCCCCATTTTTGGAGTCCCCAGTATCTATTTTGTTCGGTTTTTATGTCCACATGTACCTCCCACTTGTAAGTAAGAACATGTGGTATTTGATTTTCTGTGTGTATGCTAATTTTCTTAGGATAATGGCCTCCTGCTCCATCCATGTCCCTGCAAAGGACATGATTTTTTGTGGCTGTGTAGTATTCCATGGTATATATGTACCACATTTTCTTTATCCAGTCTATCCAATCTACCATTGATGGGTTCCTAGGTTGATTGTATGTCTTTGCTATTGTGAATAATGGTGCAGTGGACATATAAATGCATGTGTCTTTTTGGTAGAATGATTTCATTATCCTTGGGTGTATACTCAGTAATGGGATTGCTGAGTCCAATGGTAGTTCTGATTTAATTCTTTGAGCACTATCCAAACTGCTTTCCACAGAAGCTCAACTAATTTACATTCCCACCAACACTGTATATGCATTCCCTTTTTTCTACATCCTTGCAAACATCTCTTATTTTTTGAGTTTTTGCTAATAGCCATTCTGATTAAGATGGTATCTCATTGTGATTTTTTATTTGCATTCCTCTGATGATTAGTGATGTTGAGTACTTTCTGTTAGTTGGCTGCTTGTATGTCTTCTTTTGAGATGTGTCTGTGCATGTCCTTTGCCCACTTTTTAATGAGGTTGTTTTTATCTTGTTGATTTAAGAATAAAACTGGACCCCTAACTCTCACCATATACAAAAATTAACTGAAGAGGGATTACAGACTTAAATGTAAGGCCTCAAACTATAAAAATCCTAAAAGAAAACCTAGGAAATACTCTTCTGGACATTGACCTAGGTAACTAATTTATGATACGATCTCAAAAGCAAACACACATGCACACACACACAAAATTCACACTAGGACCTAATTAAACTAAAGAGCTTCTCAGTAGCAAAAGAAGCCATCAACAGAGTACACATATAACTTACAGAATGGGAGAAAATATTTGTCTGATGGTTAATACTGAATGTCAACTTGATTGGGTTGAAGGATGCAAAGTATTTTTCCTGGGTGTGTTTGTGAGGGTGTTGCCAAAGGAGATTAACATTTTAGTCAATGGACTGGGAGAGGCAGACAGACCCTCAATCTGGGAGGGCGCCATCTAATCAGCTGTCAGTATGGCTAGCATAAAAGCAGCCAGAGGAACAGGGAAGGACTAGATTGGCTGAGTCTTCTGGCCTCCATCTTTCTCCCATGCTTCCTGCCCTCAAACATGGGACGCTAAGTTCTTCAGCTTTTGGACTCTTGGACCTACACCAGTGATTTATAGGTGCTCTCAGGCCTTCAGCCATAGACTTAAGGTTGTGCGCTCTGCTTCCCTACTTTTGAGATTTTGGTACTTGGACTGGCTTCCTTTCTCCTCAACTTGCTTATGGCCTATTACGGGACTTCATCTCATGATCATGTGAGTTAATAGTTCTTAATAACATCCCTTTCATATGTACATCTTACATTTATCCTATTAGTCTTGTCGCTCTAGAGAACCCTGACTAAAACAATTTGCAAACTTTGCATTCAGCAAAAGACTAACATCCAGAATTTATAAGGAACTTAATCTGAATTTTAAAGGTCCTATCTTCAAATACAGTCACATTCTGAGGTACTGAGGGTTATAGCTTCAACATGAAATTTGAGGGGACACAATTCTGTGAATAATACTGGATAACTCGGGAACTTCCTGAAAATGTGTATTCCTATAAAACTTGCTTCTGAGGAGAAATAAATTGGACAGGTTCATTCAGTTAGCAAATAATGGATGATATAATTATCTTGACAAATTAATAAGTTGACCTTCTAGCAAGTATTGTGCGAGCTTTAGTTATACAAATTAGCATCTACTTGACAATCAACTCTGGGACATCAATAAAATAAAAATGTTCAGTTGTTATGCAGATGGCAGACTTAAAACTGTGGGAGAATCTGAAAGATAAATGCCCTTCCTGGGCAACTGTTTTGTAAGGCAGCCCAACATCTCTAGCTTACTCCTTGAAGTGTCACATACAGCGAAAGTTTTCACTCGGGGCTTCTACAGCCTTAGTCCCCCTAGATATTTAACATTGAACAAGTTACTTTGTTTCACTGATAGTAAGACAAACATTTTTCAAATTTTATTGCATTTTTAGTTAGAATTTATAAGATAATGAACAATATTTCATGGTTTAACTGTGGATGTTTTCCCCCTTATTGATGCATAAAATTAATGGTACATCCTAAAATTTATAGCATCTTAAATGTGTTGAAACATAATACCTTTCCTTATTTCTCTAACTCCCTCTCACAATAAGGAACATAAAATAACAACTTCACTGATATACACTCAAGAAATACTTTTACTGTCAGTATAATGTAAATTATTTGAGAGTGTATTATTAACTTTTATTTGTACAAAGCCTCTTATGTAGCTAGTCGATAATAAAAGTTTTATAGAAGAGAAATTAGGATTTGGGGGAAGGGTTGCTGTTCATGACTTTTACTTCAATGACACAGAGACAAGTTTTGCTTATAAAAACTCTTTTCGCTTAACCCATACTGTATTATAGGAATTGGCTTATGCTATTTACAGAAGCTGAAAAGTCTCATGACTTGCTGTCTGCAAGCTGGTAGTGTAACATCCAGTCTCAGTCCAAAGGCCTGAGAAGGCAGCAAGCGTGGCTAAATCTGAAGACTGGAAAACCAGAAGTGCCAATGTTGCAAGAAGGAGAAGAGGGATGCCTCCACTCAAGCTGAGTTAGCAAATTCACCTTTCCTTCACCTATTTGTTCTGTTTGGGACCTCCACAGTTTGGATGATGCTCACCCACATTGGTCAGAGTGATCTTAGTCTACCCATTTAAATGCTAATCTTTCCCACAAACGCCCTCCCAGAAACAACAGAAATAATGATTTACCAGCTATCTGGGCAACCCTTGGCCTAGTTAGGTTGACATAAAATTAACTATCACACAGAGAATGTCAGCCAAAGAGGAGGAAATGAGAATCAGAACTTGGATTAGATCCTTAAAAAAACAACCCCAGGTAGCTACTTAAGTCTGAGTCATGATAAGAATGTGTAGTCCTTTTGAGGTAGGAAAAAAAGGCACTAAAACATAAATTCTATGATAGCTTTTTGGGGCTCAAGCCAGATTCCTTTCAGGACATTTTTCTTGTTTTTAGAAGAAAATAACTAGAATGGATCTGACTATTTTAAAAGCACTTCATCTGTGCTGCTGAATTGAGTTGGGGAGCTACCAAGGTAGAAAGCACTTGGAAAGTTTTTACTGAAGACAGCTGCTATGGGATGTGAGCAAAATGAGCTTTGGGTTCTCACAGCTGAGAAGCTCTCGTATTGGCCTACTAGGGAGATGTTGTGGGTTTGGTTCCAGCTCTACAGCTGAGAAACTCTTATATTGGCCTACTAGGGTGATGTTGTGGGTTTGGTTCCAGACCCCCACAATAAAACAAATATCACAAAGTGACTTACAGAGTGAGTCACCTTTCCTAACCATTTGTGTGATGATGTAGCCTTTCAAAACCTCAGTTTTCACACCTATGAAATGGGTCTAACAATAGTGTCTCATTGTTTTGACATATAAATGCGATAACTTGTGTGAAAGCATTTAGGCATTGCCTGCTCATAGTAAGGATTCATTAAATATTAGCTATCATGGCCTCAAAACAAAACGTACTAAAAAAAACAGAGAACTAAAATCTAACACTGCTATTTATACTTTCTATACAAGCATGCCTCAGAGATTTCAGACTACCTTAGTAAAGGGAATATCACAAAAAATCAAGTCACAGGAATGTTTTGCTTTCCCTGTGCACATAAAAATATCGTAAACTATACTATAAGTGTGCAGTAGTATTATATCTTAAAAAATCTTAATTTAAAAAATGATTTATTGTTAAAGCTTTTTAACCACCATCTGAGTCTTCAGAGTTGTAATCTTTTTGCTGGTAGAGGGTCTTTTCTCTGCTGATGGCTGATGACTGATAAGGATGGTGGTTGCTCAAGTTTGGGTTGGCTGTGGTAATTTCCTAAAAGAAGACAACCATGAAGTTTGTGCTATTGATTGATATTTCCTTTCATGAAAGACTTCTCTGTAGCTTGCGATACTCTTTGATAGCTTTTTACCTGCAGTAGAGCATTCAGAATTGAAGCCAATCCTCTTGAATCCTGATGCTGCTTTACCAACTGAGCTTATGCAATATTCTAAATTCTTTGTTCTCATTTCAACAGTGTTGACAGCGTCTTCACCAGGAGGAGATTCCATCTGAAGAAACCACTTTCTTTGCTCATCCATAATAAGCAGCTCCTCATCCCTTCAAGTTTTAGCATGAGATTGCAGCAATTCAGTCCTATCTTTAGGCTCTGCTACTAGTTCTCTTGCTATTTCCACTTCACTTGCAGTTTCTTCCCACACTAAAGCCTTAAAACCCTCAAAGTCATCCATGAGGATTGAAATCAACTTTGTTCAAACCCTATTCATGTTGCTACTGTGACCTTCTCCTATGAAACATGAATGTTCTTTAAGGGCATCTAGAAGGGTGAATCTTTTTCAGAAGGATTTCAGTTGACTTTACCCAATCTATCTGAGAACTCACTACTTACGCCTACTTAGCTTTATGAGACATATTTATTAACTAATAAGACTTGAAAGTAAAAATTACTCCTTTATCGATGGACTGCACAATGGATATTGTGTTAACAGGCATGAAAATGTCTAATTACTTTATACATCTCCATAAGGCTCTTGGGTGACCAGGGGCATTGTCAGCAAACAGCATGATTTTGAAACTAATCTTTTTATCTGAGCAGTAGGTTTCAACAGTGGACTTAAAATATTTAGTAAACCAAGTTGTATACAGATGTTCTATCATTAAGATTTTATATATATATATATTCTGATTCTATATATGTTCTGTCTTCAAAATTCTGTATATGTTATGTTGTCAAGGTTCTCTCTCTCCATATATATATATATATATATATACACACACACATGTGTAATGTATATGTTTTCTTCTTTATCTGCTGACGTGAGAAAACAAATGTCAAATCATTTTCAGTCATGATGCTAAAGGATCACAAGGATAGCTAGATGACACTGAACTTTCATCTTTGAAATATTTATATGTTCATATATCCCAGGTCTCCCAATTGTCCCAATTCATTAGTTCCCAACAAAAAGTTGGTGAAGATTATTTAGCACTGTTTGGGCTTACCTTAAATGCATAATGTCTGTGTGCTCATAAAATAGGAAACCAGCCATTTTGAGGAAGTAATTTCAGGATTTAGAATTTCATGGCATAATCCCAGATTTAATCAGTATATGAAAACCAAATGGGTATTGTGATTTTACATAGTAATATTAAAGAAACCTGGCTGCTGATCTCAATATTAATAAAATTCTCTCTGGAAGAATTTCATTTGGTAGCTTGTAGATGCAGGCACCATATTTTAAAACGCTGTGATAATTACCTCAGGATGCCTCTGTTTGAGCCACATCCTTCTCCTGATTTCCTGGCCTTCTCAGTGAAGAGGGAAGCGCAGTCATTACTGGCTCTGATGTTCCTGATCAGGTTCTACTAAAAAAAAGTTTTCTTTTTTTCTGTCCCATTGTCTCTTGAACATTACTGTCAGCATTTGCCACAATATGCTCATCAGAAGTGTTGAGAAGCTATAGAAAAATGTGTAGCCCTTTCTCAAAGAAAATCTAGGGACCCATAATCCCAGAGCTAGAACAAATATGTTATTCTGTCTGGGCACGGTGGCTCACGGCTGTAATCCCAGCACTTTGGAAGGCCGAGGGGGGCGGATTATGAGGTCGGGAGATCGAGACAATCCTGGGTAACATGGTGAAACTCCGTCTCTACTAAAAATAAAAAAAAATTAGCCAGGCGTGGTGGTGTGCATCTGTACTCCCAGCTACCTGGGAGGCTGAGGCAGGAGAATGGCGTGAACCCCAGAGGTGAGGGTTGCAGTGAGCCAATATCGTACCTCTGCACTCAAGCCTGTATGACAGAGTGAGACTCCGTCTCAAAACACACAAACAAAAAAAAAGTTACTCTTCCCCAACAGTGTTAGTTTATCTTGTTTTCCTAATAGATATAAATAAAAATTTTGTTATCAGATTTTATTTTTTTCTAGCTAGAAATTTTTACATGGTGAACAATGAAGCTAGAAGAACTTGTCACACTTAATTCTTCTATGTCTTTAGGGTCACTTAAAAATTTTCCATTCCTAAATTCTCCTCCGGCTGCTCCCATCCTGCAGGATACAACAGCCTTCCTTCCATCTGAATTTTGCATTGCAATTAATGAATGGTGATTTTCAGGATTGGTCAGGGTTTCCATTTTAGAATTGTGCTGCACTCTATTCTTGAACTCATCAAAATTAAATTCAAACTATTAGGTACAGATGGTCCTCAATTTATGGTGGTTTGACTTACGAGTTTTTCACTTTACCGTGGTGCAAAAACAATACACATTTGGTTGAAACCATACTTCCAGTTTTGAATTTTGATCTTTACCCAGGTTAGCGACATGCGGTATGACACTCTCTCAGTATGCTGGACAGTGGCACTGAGCCTCAGCCCACGGTCAGCCACACAATCATGAGTGTGAACCACCAATACTCCACAGTGGATTATGGTGCCAGATGATTTTGCCTAACTATAGTTTAATATAAGTGCTCTGAACATGTTTAAGGTCGTTAGGCTAAGCTATAATTTTTTCATAGGTTAGATATATTAAACGTATTTTCAACTTACAATATTTTCACCTTATGAAGGGTTTATTGGGACCTAACACCATTGTAAGTCAAGGAACACCTGTAATTATATGTAAAATACCTGTGTTCCCCATTTTATGGTGAACTCCATGACAGCAGGTACCATAAAGAGGCTAGTTTGTTGTCAAAGGGTAATATTATTTGTTTGACATATTGTATACATTCAATAGATATTTTTTGGAAGAATGAATACAATTAGTAAATAAATGAACTCTACCTACATGAACATGTATTTGAAATATGACCCTAATTTTAAAATATAATAAAATTATGAGAACATTCAGAAATACAGTGAATAGTTCAATTTAAGTATATTTAAAACACTGTTACCTTTGAGGCCTGCCTTTTCTAATCTTTCCTTCAAGGGATGTACAGAAACAAAGCAAAAAATTTCTTTATTCTTTTGTGTCTACGCAATGAATATGAGAAGAGCCTTTGTGTCTTCCCATTTATGAGTGTGGCCTCCCTCAGCCTACCTCCCCTGACTCTTTATAGCCAAGGACATCTGACAGCATCAGTCCTGCCCAGGTTTACTCACTGTAGCTGCTTCCACTGGTAAAGGGGTACCTCCTCCACACAGCATCCTTTTGTCCCCATCATCCAACCATAAGTTGCTCATGAGGGCAAGAAACAAACTTTCTTTCTGATAATGATGTGCCAAGCAGCGATTTAAATTTATTTAATCATAACAAAGATATGTTCACAGCCACTAGCTATTTACACTTTTTTTTAGAAATTTGATTTAGAACTACTATGATAATCTTCAAAATTTTATTCTGGTTAGCATTATAAAAAGACAATTATTATTCTTGAGATTTTATTAACGTTAAACAAAAAGGAATTTTAGATGCCAAATAAGTCATTTATTTGGACATTGTAAAGGATAAATGATATTTGCTTCCCCATCTGAAGTTAATTTTATAATTGACAGATTTTTGCATCTATTTTTATAGTTCTATTAGCATTTTATAGCATGCTTTATATTGGAGAAAACCGCTTTATACTCATTTTAATTAGCTATCTTTCATACATATCAATTAGTTTCAGTAATAGAGTAAAGTCAAAAAGATTTTGAAAAGCAAGATGTCACATATGCATACAAATTAAACTTTAATGACTTCCATCTGGGGACTGTTACCCAGCGTCACAAGTGGTTTTAGAGAAAAACTGTATGAATGACAAATGGATCCTGCTAGTTTCCTCATTCCATCCAGAAGAGGATGAAATGACTTCGTCTTTGAACACTTTTTAGGTTGCTTATGAAAATTGGCATACTGGGTAAGTGGAGAAAAGAAATAAAATGAAGCGATAACACAGCCACATGAGCCACAGCCAATGTGATGATAATGGCAACCAATAGATGCTCAAAAATACTGGCTTATGGAGTCTCTACCCTGGGTTTGGTCTGGGCTTTACTACTTACCAGCATATGACAGAAAGCCACCCAGCTAATATCTTTAAAACTCACTTTTCCCACATGCACAATAACGCTCTCAATGCCCATTTTGTGGGTTGTTTGGAAGTTTAAGTAAACTCACTTCTGTGAAGTAGAAAGCTCAGTATCTGACATGTGGTGCGCTCTACATAATGGTCAGTAGCATTATTTGTATTCATTCTCCAAGGATTATTTTTCTTGTACAATGTCATTGATCACCATTTCTGCCCTTACCTTAAACTTTGATTTTTACCACAACACTATTAAACAGCACTGTTATCAAATAGAAAATGACAGTGTGATTTGATTATTATGGGTTAGAATCTAAAATTATTCAATCTCTGGCTCTTATAAAGAGTGACATATCCCTTTATCTGGAATGAAACTTTTACGATCAGTTTAAACTTTCTTTACCTCCCAAATGGTCCATGTAACCAAACTGGTCCCATCAGGGAGTATAAATATATTTACAAACATAGCTAAATAATATAAATAGGTAAATGGAAAAGCTCCAAAACTTTCCTGATGGCTAAAGTGAGCAGATGCTTCCTCTTATAACAGGTAGTACTCTATGGGATGTGTGGGGGCCATCATCATTTATTACGCAGTTGATGGCATTCTGCTGCCAAATTAAGACAGGTTTCATCTGGATGTCACATAGCCAATTCTTAATGCCTCAAAGTTCTTCTGATTTCAAGATTTTTATAGTTTGAAATGAAACCAGTAATTAAAAAGTGACAAACTAGAAACAGCAAGAACATCATTGTCAAACTGAAGTACATTCCGGGCTGGACAGCATCACCTCAATGTTTATCTCAGTTTTGTTGAATATTTATGTACGCCATCTTTTTTTCCTAGATCTATGATACAGCTGAATTACTTAATGCACATTAATTTTGCCTAGGTAAAACACATATTTTCATCGAGCATCTTAACATATTACAAAGGATTGTATTTTCCTCCATTTAATGTCAGCAATTACCACAGCAACATGTAGAGATACATTAAACTAGACAAGAAAATGTGTTATATGTAATTATTTTTAGGGATGGATATGTGCTTGATTTATATGTTTTTATCCACTTATTTTTCAGCAAGACTTTATATTGCAGAAAACACCCAAAGGTAATACATTAAAGTTGCCATGTGAATTATTGTTGCAATATAAATTGCAGAACTCACTGAAAACAGAAGTAGCATATAGTGAGAATGCAAACATGAATATTAATCTATCTATAGCCAACATTTACTTAATGTACTAACATGTTGGATGTGGTGGAATCTAAAAAAGTAAATTGTGTGCAAAGAGTGTGTCTTTAAAACTGATGAAAATGTGCGCAGAAGCAGGAAACTAGACCTTCTAATTTTCTCCATGATGACTAGTGACCATTCATATGAGTCAGTGTCTCTCAATTACTTTCCAACAGTAGCACTGCCTTATTTTGTAGTTTTGGCTGGTCTTTATATCACATTTGTCCATGAACTTTCAATCTACTTCTCATGACTATGTGCATTAAGTAAGTACTTTTCCATTATTCTTGTATATGGATCTTACTGCCAGGATTGACACATATCACATGAAGCTGATTTTCCTACCTTGCCAAGTCTCTTTTGCTGTCCAATCCCTAGCTGGCCTCTGATTTTGTTGCTCTCGCCTTCAGCTTGACGGTCTTAGTGGTCTCATTCTTTCTTGTGATTCTTGCAATGTCAAACTAGTTTGAAGTGAAGGATTCAAACTGACTTCTATAAACCAATTTACAAAGTATTAATAATGTATAAATAATTGTTAAATTGCATGGCACAAATAATTGTTTTAGGGATTTTAAAGATGCTATGTATGTATGAATGTATGTGTGTTTGCATTTATTCATTTATACAGCCTCTTTGGGCAGCATTTATATACCACAGGCAGGTTTGATAAGTACACACATACACACACACACACACTGCAGCTCTGGCTATATATGATATTATATGGATATATATGTTATGTACCAATGAATATATAGCCAATAAGATTCACTGCTTAAGTACAGTTACGTAAATTATTACTAGGTCAGTGACATGCCTTGGCTGTGTTCCCATGCAAATCTCATCTTGAATTGTAATTCCGATAATCAGCATGTGTGGAGACATCCACTGGGAGGTAATTAAATTATGGGGGTGGTTTCCCCCATGCTGTTCTCCTGACAGTGAGTTCTCACGAGATCTGATAGTTTTATAAGCATCTGGCATTTCCCCTGCTGGCACTCATTCTGTCTCCTGCCACCCTGTGGAGTGGTGCCTTCCGCCATGATTGTAAGTTTTCTGAGGCCTCCCCAGCAATGCAGAACTGTGAGTCTATTAAACCTCTTTGCTTTATAAATTACCCAGTCTCTGGCAGTTCTTCATAGCAGTGTGAGAATAGACTAATATAGTCAGCCACACTTGTTCACATGCTTTTGCCCCCTTATTGCTATATTTTCAAATATGCTCTGAAAAGTTAAGGCTATGAGAGTTGATTTTACATTGTTTCTTTCCCTTTCTCTCTTTATTTTTCTCTTTTTGGTAGATACATTCATAGATTATTCTGTCCCACCCACCTACTCCGGGAGAATAGAAAATGACTGAATGATCTCAAACGTAGTCTGAAAAAAATGATGTGTAGAATTATATAAATCTAATGTCCTTAAGATATTTGAGTGACAGCTTAATAAGGAATCTTCAAGGATACCATCACAGGTGTTGGGAAAATACGTGATTTTCCTGTTAAAAATGGGGGAAATGTAAGCCATCAAATCTTTGAGAAACAGAAGTTTCTTCAAGAGAGAAGTTAGAGGAAACGATGTGATGTGTCCCACTTGAAGAACAGAGAAATATTTCTGCTTAGATTTCTATATATAAAATCTGTCTGGCATAACTCTTTTAGGGGTAGTTCCTAAAAGTTAAGGGCGCAAGAGTTTATACGTTGGTAATCTGTTAGATGAAAACCACTAAGAACTCATAAGATGAAAGTCTATGCACAGTATTGATAAAAAAATCAAATAATTAGGGTTGACAGACAAAATACAGGATGCCTATTTTAACTTAAATTTTAGATAAGCAATAAATTTCCACTACAAGTATGTTCCATGCAATACTTCTATTAGCTAAGTTTTGTAACGCTGCAAGTAAGTAACAGATTTGTAGACCATTACATTGAGGTAATGTCATATATAGGCAAATCATTATAGAAGGAGAGGACTTCCATAGAGTGAAAGAAACATTTATGCATTAAATATTAGTGATGTAGTAAAGCAGGAATTTTCCTGGGAAGTCTTCGAGATAATTTGCCAGAATCACCAACTGAGAAATATTATGGAACAAGAGCACTGTGAATGTGGTAATTATAAAGAAATTTACAAATAGTAATAGTTTATAATTAAGTACAAAAATTAAATGTGGACATGCTTCCATAAATGTTCATAATTAGTGAAGGCATTTCTTCTCAATGAAGGCTTCATAGACGTTATAAATGTTGCCTACGTAACCATATCAAATTAACATGATTACTTGTGTACCAGTTTTGCCCTGAGCTCAAAATGTCATACTCAGCAAAGTTCTTAAAGAGAAAACTTTTTTCATGGGCCTGTAGGATTGTGACCTATAGAAGCTGAGCTGAAGCTGTTGAGTTAGAAACTTATTGACACTGAAGTTTACAAATTTATTACCATATTTCTTCAGACTAGATTTTATTAGCATGCTCATCATCGTTAATCAGGTTGAAAACATATAACTTAAAAATACAAAAAACAATAAACAGTTTTATGGCTTACTCATTAGGAGTATGCTTGAAAACACATATCATGGACATTGGTAGTGGACATGAATATTTTGGTTTTCAGTGAGTATAAGAGGAAAGTATCTTCTTTTTTTTTAGTTTTAATCTTCTAGAATGTGTAGTGCATGGGTTTGTTACTAATCTTCAGTGATGATTTTTTCAAAGCAAAGCTTTAGGGTGCAACTGTCTTAAATTTCTGGAATAAATAACAAATTACCAAAAAAAAAAAAAAAAAAGGAAAGAAAAATTAGAGCCAGGGCAGTTGTAAAGTGAAGGGGAAGCTTGCACTAAGCTTCGGTTAATTCTATTAAATAATTTTAACTACATTCTTGAACCAGGATAATCTGATAAAAATTCTAACTACTTCCTTATAAAATCTTAACTAAATAGAATTTAAAATAATGTTTTATTAGCATCACATTTTATTGCTTGAGTTTGTGGGGGCTAAGTGCTGTTTTCACATTTCAATTTGCAATTGTTAATTCTAGGTCCAAAGGAAAGTTACATGTGCTTATTGCACTTGAACAACATGGGTATTAACTTTTCTTTATCCTGGTTGTTCACTGGTCTTTTCCTTTTCCTGGTGCCATAGTTGCCTTTGGAACTATGAGAAGGATTGTGCCATGCTGTGAGTGAGTGCCAATAAATGGCAACTGGAATTGAGTTGAACTATAGAGTAGGATCCTGTTGGGGTTCTGGGCTTACCCCTCTTCTGCCCTTCTTGTGACATTTCAACTTGAATTCTAGCTCCTGTTTACAAGGTTTTCAGAATCTGTCCTTCAAGTCCTTGTGTTGCCCTCACTCTTCCCACCTGGGCTTTTTACTGGAGTCACATTTCATACTCCTTTTGCACTGTTGGTCTTTACCCTTGCATTTAACTATAGTAAAAGTTGATTGCATCAGTTTGATATTCTTCCATGGCAGCTCTTATAAGCCACTTCAACAGCTCTATGTAATTTCCTCCCAACCCTGCCACATCTATTATCTGTGAATTTAGTTCCACAACAACTGTCACCTTGGAAGGAGCTTTAAGAAGAGTAGATAATGGATAGGTAGAATGTGCCACATGTAACGTAAGATTATCTTTAAGAATAGTTATGGGCCGGGTGCGGTGGCTCACACCTGTAACCCCAGCACACTGGGAGGCCGAGGCGGGTGGATCATGAGGTCAGGAGATGGAGACCATCCTGGCTAACACAGTGGAATCCTGTGTCTACTACACATACAAAAAATTAGTCAGGCGTGGTGGCGGGCGCCTGCAGTCCCAGCTCCTCGGGAGGCTGAGGCAGGAGAATGGCGTGAACCAGCGAGGCGGAGCTTGCAGTGAGCCGAGCTCGCGCCACTGCACTCCAGCCTGGGCGACAGAGCGAGACTCCGTCTCAAGAAAGATGAGCCACGTTTTAGCATCATTCCTTTTTCTGTCTCTCTCTTTTGGAAGTGTTCTAGTTTATGCTTTTCAAGATCAGGGTTGTGTCCTGACCAGCCACGTGCCTAGAACTTGGTGGGTTCCAGAAGCCTGCAAGACCAGAAACTTCTCTTTCTTCTTCCCTGGTTGGTATTTTGTGGCAATATCTGTTGGTTAATTAGATAAAGTAATTGTTCTTAATGTGAGGCAAATAAATGCTTGTCCTTCATTTCATGTCTTACCCTAACTGAAATAAATGTTTTCTCAAAAGGATCACAGGGATTGACTCAAATGGCAGGAAATACAGGGGAGATCAAGGTCCCTCAGGGGGATCTTTGTAGGCAGACAGGTCTTTCATTGCTCTTTACAGCATGCTTTCCAGTCAGATACCTGTGTGGCAAATGTGTGAGCCAGCCTGGGGGAACTCAGGTGAGCCAGCTAGGCAGACAGAACATTCTCCGTTGGCTCCATCACCTTCCTCCACTCTCTCAGAAGATGACCTTTCTTCATACTATGCGAAGTAAATGGAATACTCTAAATAGCAATTGCTCTAATTGCTGTCACCAAATCTGTGAACTGACCTCTATTGATTCATGTTTGTTTTCTCATTTGAGGATAATCAAACAGCTGTTCTCATTTTACATAAAATCAGTCCCTTAGCCCTTCCCACTATGCTGTGTCTCAAATTCTCCCTCCCCCTGGCTCCTTGTCATTTGAACATTCTAAAGTTGATGTAGGCTGGGCGCAGTGGTTCACACCTGTAATCTCAGCAATTTTGGAGGCCAAGGCCAGGTGGATTACTTGAGATCATGAGTTTGAGATCAGCCTAGCCAACATGGCGAAACCTTGTCTCTACTAAAAATACAAAAAACAAACAAACAAACAAACTGGGTGTGGTGGCTTGTGCCTGTAGTCCCGGCTACTCGGGAGGCTGAGGCAGGAGAATCACTTGAACGCAGGAGGCAGAGGTGGCAGTGAGCCGAGATTGCGCCACTGCACTCCAGCCTGGGCGACAGACCCAGACTCCATCTCCAATCAATCAGTCAATCAATACATCTAACTTCACCCTTTCTGAACCTCATATTCCCTACCGGGTTCTAATCATTTCACCAGTCTACGTTAGAAGCAACTTCATGAACAAGTTATCTATAATGATCAGTTTCACTCTTCAGTCTCCTAAAATCTGACATTTTCCCCATAATCCGTCTGTGATCTCCAATATACAGCTACTAGTGACGTGCAATTTATATTAACCAAGTAAAATTTAAAATTAAGTTTTTTAGCATTGCTAGCCACATTTCAAGTGCTCAATAGCCACATGTGGCTATCATATTGAATAGTGCAAATATAAAACATCTGTCATCTGAAAATGTTCTATTGGGCAGTGCTGTTGCATAGAAACTCTTCTAGCCTAAGTCACCCTGTTCTTCTTGTTGCTATGCAAGGGGCGTTTTTTGATTATTTGATCTGTTATCAGGGCTCAGCATTACTGGCTACTCACTGCTTTTAAAAATATATCCTTTTCTTCACTTCCCTGACACCATACCTATATGAACTTTTTTCTATCTCTCAGCAATTTTTCAGGCTCCTTTGACATTTCTCCTTCTCTACACTCAGTTGGTACTTTCTTGGGTTCTAATCCCTTGTATTTAATTTCCATTTGTATGCTGAGAAGTCTCAAATCCATTTTTCTTTTGCCTAGACTCTCCTGTCTTAAACAAACATGTTTAAGCAAACATGTTTAAACCTGAACATTG